>NC_000018.10:18504859-18674376 GCF_000001405.40 Homo sapiens | reverse complement strand
CACTTGCAGATTCCAGAAAAAGAGTGTTTCAAAACTGCTCCTTCAAAACGGTGGTTCAATTCTCTTAGTTGAGTACACACATCTCAAATAAGTTTCTGAGAATGCTTCTGTCTAGTTGTTATGGGAAGATATTTCCTTTTCCAACATAGGCCTGAAAGCGCTCCAAATGTCCACTTCCAGATACTACAAAAGGAGTGATTCCAACCTGCTCTATGATAGGGAATGTTCAACTCTGTGTCCTGAATACAAACATCACAAAGATGTTTCTCAGAACGCTGCAGTCTGCAATTTGTATGAATTCCCGCTTCCAACGAAATCCTCAAAACTAGACAAATATCCACTTGCAGATTCCACAAAAAGAGCGTTTCAAAACTTCTCTATGAAAACAAAGGTTCTACTCCTTTAGTTGAGGACACACATCACGAGTAAGTTTCTGAGAATGCTTCTGTCTAGTTTTTACGGGAAGATATTTCCTTTTTCACCTTAGGCCGGAAAGTGCTCCAAATGTCCACTTACACACACTATAAAAAGAGTGTTTCAAACCTGCTCTGTGAAAGGGAATGTTCAATTCTGTGACTTGAATGCAATCATCACAAAGAACGTTCTGAGAATGCTGCTGTCTGCTTTTTATATGTAATCCCGTTTCCAACGAAATCCTCAAATCTAGCCAAATAGCCACTTGCAGATTCCACAAAAAGAGAGTTTCAAAACTGTTCTGTCTAAAGAAATGTTCAACTGTGTTAGTTGAGGACACACATCAGAAACTAGTTTCTGAGAATGCTTCTGTCTAGTTGTTATGGGAAGATATTTCCTTTTCCAACGTAGGCCTGAAAGCGCTCCAAATGTCCACTTCCATATACTAAAAAAAGAGTGTTTCAAACCTGCTCTACCAAAGGGAATGTTCTACTCTGTGACTTGAATGCAAACATCCCAAAGAAGTTTCTGAGAATGCTTCTGTCTAGATTTGATCTGAAGACAATCCCGTTTCCAACGAAATCCTCAAGGCTAGGCAAATATCCTCTTGCAGATTGCAGAAAAAGAGTGTTTCAAAACTGCTCCTTCAAACCGGTGGTTCAATTCTCTTAGTTGAGTACACACATCTCAAATAAGTTTCTGAGAATGCTTCTGCCTAGTTGTTACGGGAAGATATTTCCCTTTCCAACATAGGCCTGAAAGCGCTCCAAATGTCCACTTCCAGATACTACAAAAAGAGTGTTTCAAACCTGCTCTACCAAAGGGAATGTTCTACTCTGTGACTTGAATGCAAACATCCCAAAGAAGTTTCTGAGAATGCTTCTGTCTAGATTTTACCTGAAGACAATCCCGTTTCCCACGAAATCCCCAAAGCTATGCAAAAATCCTCTTGCAGATTCTACACAAAGAGTGTTTCAAAACTGCTCTATGAAAAGAAAGGTTCAACTCTGTCAGTAGAGGGCACACATCACAAACAAGTTTCTGAGAATGCTTGTGTCTAGTTGTTATGGGAAGATATTTCCTTTTTCAACATAGGCCTGAAAGCGCTCCAAATGTCCACTTCCAGATACTACAAAAGGAGTGATTCCAACCTGCTCTATGATAGGGAATGTTCAACTCTCTGTCCTGAATACAAACATCACAAAGATGTTTCTCAGAACGCTGCAGTCTGCAATTTGTATGAATTCCCGCTTCCAACGAAATCCTCAAAACTAGCCAAATATCCACTTGCAGATTCCACAAAAAGAGCATTTCAAAACTGCTCTATCAAAAGAAAGGTTCAACTTTGTTAGTTGAGCAGATACAGCATAAACAAGTTTCTGAGAATGCTTCTGTCCAGTTTTTATGGGAAGATATTTCCTTTTTCACCTTAGCCCTGAAATCGCTCCAAAAGTCCAGTTCCAGATACTACAAAAGGGGTGTTTCAAGACTGCTCTATGAAAGGGAGTGTTCAACTTTTGACTTGAATGCAAACATCAGAAAGCAGTTTCTCAGAACGCTGCTGTGTGCTTTTTATATGTATTCCCGCTTCCAGCGAAATCCCCAAGCTAGCCAAATATCCACTTGCAGATTCCAGAAAAAGAGTGTTTCAAAACTGCTCCTTCAAAACGGTGGTTCAATTCTCTTAGTTGAGTACACACATCTCAAATAAGTTTCTGAGAATGCTTCTGTCTATTTGTTATGGGAAGATATTTCCTTTTCCAACATAGGCCTGAAAGCGCTCCAAATGTCCACTTCCAGATACTAGAAAAGGAGTGATTCAAACCTGCTCTATGATAGGGAATGTTCAACTCTGTGTCCTGAATACAAACATCACAAAGATGTTTCTCAGAACGCTGCAGTCTGCAATTTGTATGAATTCCCGCTTCCAACGAAATCCTCAAAACTAGCCAAATATCCACTTGCAGATTCCACAAAAAGAGCGTTTCAAAACTTCTCTATGAAAAGAAAGGTTCTACTCCTTTAGTTGAGGACACACATCACGAGTAAGTTTCTGAGAATGCTTCTGTCTAGTTTTTATGGGAAGATATTTCCTTTTTCACCTTAGGCCGGAAAGTGCTCCAAA
Source organism: Homo sapiens (assembly GCF_000001405.40). NCBI lineage: Eukaryota > Metazoa > Chordata > Mammalia > Primates > Hominidae > Homo > Homo sapiens. The sequence continues at coordinate 18,671,837 of NC_000018.10, read as the reverse complement.
TGTCCACTTACACACACTACAAAAAGAGTGTTTCAAACCTGCTCTGTGAAAGGGAATGTTCAATTCTGTGACTTGAATGCAATCATCACAAAGAACTTTCTGAGAATGCTGCTGTCTGCTTTTTATATGTAATCCCGTTTCCAACGAAATCCTCAAATCTAGCCAAATAGCCACTTGCAGATTCCACAAAAAGAGTGTTTCAAAACTGTTCTGTCTAAAGAAATGTTCAACTGTGTTAGTTGAGGACAGACATCAGAAACTAGTTTCTGAGAATGCTTCTGTCTAGTTGTTATGGGAAGATATTTCCTTTTCCAACGTAGGCCTGAAAGCGCTCCAAATGTCCACTTCCATATACTAAAAAAAGAGTGTTTCAAACCTGCTCTACCAAAGGGAATGTTCTACTCTGTGACATGAATGCAAACATCCCAAAGAAGTTTCTGAGAATGCTTCTGTCTAGATTTGATCTGAAGACAATCCCGTTTCCAACGAAATCCTCAAGGCTAGGCAAATATCCTCTTGCAGAGTCCAGAAAAAGAGTGTTTCAAAACTGCTCCTTCAAAACGGTGGTTCAATTCTCTTAGTTGAGTACACACATCTCAAATAAGTTTCTGAGAATGCTTCTGCCTAGTTGTTACGGGAAGATATTTCCCTTTCCAACATAGGCCTGAAAGCGCTCCAAATGTCCACTTCCAGATACTACAAAAAGAGTGTTTCAAACCTGCTCTACCAAAGGGAATGTTCTACTCTGTGACTTGAATGCAAACATCCCAAAGAAGTTTCTGAGAATGCTTCTGTCTAGATTTTACTTGAAGACAATCCCGTTTCCCACGAAATCCTCAAAGCTATGCAAATATCCTCTTGCAGATTCTACAAAAAGAGTGTTTCAAAACTGCTCTATGAAAAGAAAGGTTCAACTCTGTCAGTAGAGGGCACACATCACAAACAAGTTTCTGAGAATGCTTGTGTCTAGTTGTTATGGGAAGATATTTCCTTTTTCAACATAGGCCAGAAAGCGCTCCAAATGTCCACTTCCAGATACTACAAAAGGAGTGATTCCAACCTGCTCTATGATAGGGAATGTTCAACTCTCTGTCCTGAATACAAACATCACAAAGATGTTTCTCAGAACGCTGCAGTCTGCAATTTGTATGAATTCCCGCTTCCAACGAAATCCTCAAAACTAGCCAAATATCCACTTGCAGATTCCACAAAAAGAGCATTTCAAAACTGCTCTATCAAAAGAAAGGTTCAACTTTGTTAGTTGAGTAGATACAGCATAAACAAGTTTCTGAGAATGCTTCTGTCCAGTTTTTATGGGAAGATATTTCCTTTTTCACCTTAGCCCTGAAAGCGCTCCAAAAGTCCAGTTCCAGACACTACAAAAGGAGTGTTTCAGGACTGCTCTATGAAAGGGAGTGTTCAACTTTTGACTTGAATGCAAACATCAGAAAGCAGTTTCTCAGAACGCTGCTGTGTGCTTTTTATATGTATTCCCGCCTCCAGCGAAATCCCCAAAGCTAGCCAAATATCCACTTGCAGATTCCAGAAAAAGAGTGTTTCAAAACTGCTCCTTCAAAACGGTGGTTCAATTCTCTTAGTTGAGTACACACATCTCAAATAAGTTTCTGAGAATGCTTCTGTCTAGTTGTTATGGGAAGATATTTCCTTTTCCAACATAGGGCCTGAAAGCGCTCCAAATGTCCACTTCCAGATACTACAAAAGGAGTGATTCCAACCTGCTCTATGATAGGGAATGTTCAACTCTGTGTCCTGAATACAAACATCACAAAGATGTTTCTCAGAACGCTGCAGTCTGCAATTTGTATGAATTCCCGCTTCCAACGAAATCCTCAAAACTAGCCAAATATCCACTTGCAGATTCCACAAAAAGAGCGTTTCAAAACTTCTCTATGAAAAGAAAGGTTCTACTCCTTTAGTTGAGGACACACATCACGAGTAAGTTTCTGAGAATGCTTCTGTCTAGTTTTTATGGGAAGATATTTCCTTTTTCACCTTAGGCCGGAAAGCGCTCCAAATGTCCACTTACACACACTACAAAAAGAGTGTTTCAAACCTGCTCTGTGAAAGGGAATGTTCAATTCTGTGACTTGAATGCAATCATCACAAAGAACTTTCTGAGAATGCTGCTGTCAGCTTTTTATATGTAATCCCGTTTCCAAAGAAATCCTCAAATCTAGCCAAATAGCCACTTGCAGATTCCACAAAAAGAGTGTTTCAAAACTGTTCTGTCTAAAGAAATGTTCAACTGTGTTAGTTGAGGACACACATCAGAAACTAGTTTCTGAGAATGCTTCTGTCTAGTTGTTATGGGAAGATATTTCCTTTTCCAACGTAGGCCTGAAAGCGCTCCAAATGTCCACTTCCATATACTAAAAAAAGAGTGTTTCAAACCTGCTCTAACAAAGGGAATGTTCTACTCTATGAATTGAATGCAAACACCCAAAGAAGTTTCTGAGAATGCTTCTGTCTAGATTTTATCTGAAGACAATCCCGTTTCCAACGAAATCCTCAAAGCTAGGCAAATATACTCTTGCAGATTCCAGAAAAAGAGTGTTTCAAAACTGCTCCTTGAAAAGGGTGGTTCAATTCTCTTAGTTGAGTACACCCATCTCAAATAAGTTTCTGAGAATGCTTCTGCCTAGTTGTTACGGGAAGATATTTCCCTTTCCAACATAGGCCTGAAAGCGCTCCAAATGTCCACTTCCAGATACTACAAAAAGAGTGTTTCAAACCTGCTCTACCAAAGGGAATGTTCTACTCTGTGACTTGAATAGAAACATCCCAAAGAAGTTTCTGAGAATGCTTCTGTCTAGATTTTAGCTGAAGACAATCCCGTTTCCAACGAAATCCTCAAAGCTAGGCAAATATACTCTAGCAGATTCCAGAAAAAGAGTGTTTCAAAACTGCTCCTTCAAAACGGTGGTTCAATTCTCTTAGTTGAGTACACACATCTCAAATAAGTTTCTGAGAATGCTTCTGCCTAGTTGTTACGGGAAGATATTTCCCTTTCCAACATAGGCCTGAAAGCGCTCCAAATGTCCACTTCCAGATACTACAAAAAGAGTGTTTCAAACCTTCTCTACCAAAGGGAATGTTCTACTCTGTGACTTGAATGCAAACATCCCAAAGAAGTTTCTGAGAATGCTTCTGTCTAGATTTTACCTGAAGACAATCCCGTTTCCCACGAAATCCTCAAAGCTATGCAAATATCCTCTTGCAGATTCTACAAAAAGAGTGTTTCAAAACTGCTCTATGAAAAGAAAGGTTCAACTCTGTCAGTACAGGGCACACATCACAAACAAGTTTCTGAGAATGCTTCTGCATAGTTGTTACGGGAAGATATTTCCCTTTCCAAAATAGGCCTGAAAACGCTCCAAATGTCCACTTCCAGATACTACAAAAGGAGTGATTCCAACCTGCTCTATGATAGGGAATGTTCAACTCTGTGTCCTGAATACAAACATCACAAAGATGTTTCTCAGAACGCTGCAGTCTGCAATTTGTATGAATTCCCGCTTCCAACGAAATCCTCAAAACTAGCCAAATATCCACTTGCAGATTCCACAAAAAGACCATTTCAAAACTGCTCTATCAAAAGAAAGGTTCAACTTTGTTAGTTGAGTAGATACAGCATAAACAAGTTTCTGAGAATGCTTCTGTCCAGTTTTTATGGGAAGATATTTCCTTTTTCACCTTAGCCCTGAAAGCACTCCAAATGTCCACTTCCAGATACCACAAAAGGGGAGTTTCAAGACTGCTCTATGAAAGGGAGTGTTCAACTTTTGACTTGAATGCGAACATCAGAAAGAAGTTTCTCAGAACGCTGCTGTGTGCTTTTTATATGTATTCCCGCTTCCAGCGAAATCCCCCAAAGCTAGCCAAATATCCACTTGCAGATTCCAGAAAAAGAGTGTTTCAAAACTGCTCCTTCAAAACGGTGGTTCAATTCTCTTAGTTGAGTACACACATCTCAAATAAGTTTCTGAGAATGCTTCTGTCTATTTGTTATGGGAAGATATTTCCTTTTCCAACATAGGCCTGAAAGCGCTCCAAATGTCCACTTCCAGATACTAGAAAAGGAGTGATTCAAACCTGCTCTATGATAGGGAATGTTCAACTCTGTGTCCTGAATACAAACATCACAAAGATGTTTCTCAGAACGCTGCAGTCTGCAATTTGTATGAATTCCCGCTTCCAACGAAATCCTCCAAACTAGCCAAATATCCACTTGCAGATTCCACAAAAAGAGCGTTTCAAAACTTCTCTATGAAAAGAAAGGTTCTACTCCTTTAGTTGAGGACACACATCACGAGTAAGTTTCTGAGAATGCTTCTGTCTAGTTTTTATGGGAAGATATTTCCTTGTTCACCTTAGGCCGGAAAGCGCTCCAAATGTCCACTTACACACACTACAAAAAGAGTGTTTCAAACCTGCTCTGTGAAAGGGAACGTTCAATTCTGTGACTTGAATGCAATCATCACAAAGAAGTTTCTGAGAATGCTGCTGTCTGCTTTTTATATGTAATCCCGTTTCCAACGAAATCCTCAAATCTAGCCAAATAGCCACTTGCAGATTCCACAAAAAGAGTGTTTCAAAACTGTTCTGTCTAAAGAAATGTTCAACTGTGTTAGTTGAGGACACACATCAGAAACTAGTTTCTGAGAATGCTTCTGTCTAGTTGTTATGGGAAGATATTTCCTTTTCCAACGTAGGCCTGAAAGCGCTCCAAATGTCCACTTCCATATACTAAAAAAAGAGTGTTTCAAACCTGCTCTACCAAAGGGAATGTTCTACTCTGTGACTTGAATGCAAACATCCCAAAGAAGTTTCTGAGAATGCTTCTGTCTAGATTTGATCTGAAGACAATCCCGTTTCCAACGAAATCCTCAAATCTATGCAAATATCCTCTTGCAGATTCCAGAAAAAGAGTGTTTCAAAACTGCTCCTTCAAAACGGTGGTTCAATTCTCTTAGTTGAGTCCACACATCTCAAATAAGTTTCTGAGAATGCTTCTGCCTAGTTGTTACGGGAAGATATTTCCCTTTCCAACATAGGCCTGAAAGCGCTCCAAATGTCCACTTCCAGATACTACAAAAAGAGTGTTTCAAACCTGCTCTACCAAAGGGAATGTTCTACTCTGTGACTTGAATGCAAACATCCCGAAGAATTTTCTGAGAATGCTTCTGTCTAGATTTTACCTGAAGACAATCCCGTTTCCCACGAAATCCTCAAAGCTATGCAAATATCCTCTTGCAGATTCTACAAAAAGAGTGTTTCAAAACTGCTCTATGAAAAGAAAGGTTCAACTCTGTCAGTAGAGGGCACACATCACAAACAAGTTTCTGAGAATGCTTCTGCATAGTTGTTACGGGAAGATATTTCCCTTTCCAAAATAGGCCTGAAAGCGCTCCAAATGTCCACTTCCAGATACTACAAAAGGAGTGATTCCAACCTGCTCTATGATAGGGAATGTTCAACTCTGTGTCCTGAATACAAACATCACAAAGATGTTTCTCAGAACGCTGCAGTCTGCAATTTGTATGAATTCCCGCTTCCAACGAAATCCTCAAAACTAGCCAAATATCCACTTGCAGATTCCACAAAAAGACCATTTCAAAACTGCTCTATCAAAAGAAAGGTTCAACTTTGTTAGTTGAGTAGATACAGCATAACCAAGTTTCTGAGAATGCTTCTGTCCAGTTTTTATGGGAAGATATTTCCTTTTTCACCTTAGCCCTGAAAGCGCTCCAAAAGTCCAGTTCCAGATACTACAAAAGGAGTGTTTCAGGACTGCTCTATGAAAGGGAGTGTTCAACTTTTGACTTGAATGCAAACATCAGAAAGCAGTTTCTCAGAACGCTGCTGTGTGCTTTTTATATGTATTCCCGCTTCCAGCGAAATCCCCAAAGCCAGCCAAATATCCACTTGCAGATTCCAGAAAAAGAGTGTTTCAAAACTGCTCCTTCAAAACGGTGGTTCAATTCTCTTAGTTGAGTACACACATCTCAAATAAGTTTCTGAGAATGCTTCTGTCTAGTTGTTATGGGAAGATATTTCCTTTTCCAACATAGGCCTGAAAGCGCTCCAAATGTCCACTTCCAGATACTACAAAAGGAGTGATTCAAACCTGCTCTATGATAGGGAATGTTCAACTCTGTGTCCTGAATACAAACATCACAAAGATGTTTCTCAGAACGCTGCAGTCTGCAATTTGTATGAATTCCCGCTTCCAACGAAATCCTCAAAACTAGCCAAATATCCACTTGCAGATTCCACAAAAAGAGCGTTTCAAAACTTCTCTATGAAAAGAAAGGTTCTACTCCTTTAGTTGAGGACACACAATACGAGTAAGTTTCTGAGAATGCTTCTGTCCAGTTTTTATGGGAAGATATTTCCTTTTTCACCTTAGCCCTGAAAGCGCTCCAAAAGTCCAGTTCCAGATACTACAAAAGGAGTGTTTCAGGACTGCTCTATGAAAGGGAGTGTTCAACTTTTGACTTGAATGCAAACATCAGAAAGCAGTTTCTCAGAACGCTGCTGTGTGCTTTTTATATGTATTCCCGCTTCCAGCGAAATCCCCAAAGCTAGCCAAATATCCACTTGCAGATTCCAGAAAAAGAGTGTTTCAAAACTGCTCCTTCAAAACGGTGGTTCAATTCTCTTAGTTGAGTACACACATCTCAAATAAGTTTCTGAGAATGCTTCTGTCTAGTTGTTATGGGAAGATATTTCCTTTTCCAACATAGGCCTGAAAGCGCTCCAAATGTCCACTTCCAGATACTACAAAAGGAGTGATTCAAACCTGCTCTATGATAGGGAATGTTCAACTCTGTGTCCTGAATACAAACATCACAAAGATGTTTCTCAGAACGCTGCAGTCTGCAATTTGTATGAATTCCCGCTTCCAACGAAATCCTCAAAACTAGCCAAATATCCACTTGCAGATTCCACAAAAAGACCATTTCAAAACTGCTCTATCAAAAGAAAGGTTCAACTTTGTTAGTTGAGTAGATACAGCATAACCAAGTTTCTGAGAATGCTTCTGTCCAGTTTTTATGGGAAGATATTTCCTTTTTCACCTTAGCCCTGAAATCGCTCCAAAAGAACAGTTCCAGATACTACAAAAGGGGTGTTTCAAGACTGCTCTATGAAAGGGAGTGTTCAACTTTTGACTTGAATGCAAACATCAGAAAGCAGTTTCTCAGAACGCTGCTGTGTGCTTTTTATATGTATTCCCGCTTCCAGCGAAATCCCCAAAGCTAGCCAAATATCCACTTGCAGATTCCAGAAAAAGAGAGTTTCAAAACTGCTCCTTCAAAACGGTGGTTCAATTCTCTTAGTTGAGTACACACATCTCAAATAAGTTTCTGAGAATGCTTCTGTCTAGTTGTTATGGGAAGATATTTCCTTTTCCAACATAGGCCTGAAAGCGCTCCAAATGTCCACTTCCAGATACTACAAAAGGAGTGATTCAAACCTGCTCTATGATAGGGAATGTTCAACTCTGTGTCCTGAATACAAACATCACAAAGATGTTTCTCAGAACGCTGCAGTCTGCAATTTGTATGAATTCCCGCTTCCAACGAAATCCTCAAAACTAGCCAAATATCCACTTGCAGATTCCACAAAAAGAGCGTTTCAAAACTTCTCTATGAAAAGAAAGGTTCTACTCCTTTAGTTGAGGACACACATCACGAGTAAGTTTCTGAGAATGCTTCTGTCTAGTTTTTATGGGAAGATATTTCCTTTTTCACCTTAGGCCGGTAAGTGCTCCAAATGTCCACTTACACACACTACAAAAAGAGTGTTTCAAACCTGCTCTGTGAAAGGGAATGTTCAATTCTGTGACTTGAATGCAATCATCACAAAGAACTTTCTGAGAATGCCGCTGACTGCTTTTTATATGTAATCCCGTTTCCAACGAAATCCTCAAATCTAGCCAAATAGCCACTTGCAGATTCCACAAAAAGAGTGTTTCAAAACTGTTCTGTCTAAAGAAATGTTCAACTGTGTTAGTTGAGGACACACATCAGAAACTAGTTTCTGAGAATGCTTCTGTCTAGTTGTTATGGGAAGATATTTCCTTTTCCAACGTAGGCCTGAAAGCGCTCCAAATGTCCACTTCCAGATACTACAAAAAGAGTGTTTCAAACCTGCTCTACCAAAGGGAATGTTCTACTCTGTGACTTGAATGCAAGCATCCCAAAGAAGTTTCTGAGAATGCTTCTGTCTAGATTTTATCTGAAGACAATCCCGTTTCCAACGAAATCCTCAAGGCTAGGCAAATATACTCTTGCAGATTCCAGCAAAAGAGTGTTTCAAAACTGTTCCTTCAAAACGGTGGTTCAATTGTCTTAGTTGAGTACACACATCTCAAATAAGTTTCTGAGAATGCTTCTGCCTAGTTGTTACGGGAAGATATTTCCCTTTCCAACATGGGCCTGAAAGCGCTCCCAATGTCCACTTCCAGATACTACAAAAAGAGTGTTTCAAACCTGCTCTACCAAAGGGAATGTTCTACTCTGTGACTTGAATGCAAACATCCCAAAGAAGTTTCTGAGAATGCTTCTGTCTAGATTTTACCTGAAGACAATCCCGTTTCCCACGAATTCCTCAAAGCGATGCAAATATCCTCTTGCGGATTCTACAAAAAGAGTGTTTCAAAACTGCTCTATGAAAAGAAAGGTTCAACTCTGTCAGTAGAGGGCACACATCACAAACAAGTTTCTGAGAATGCTTGTGTCTAGTTGTTATGGGAAGATATTTCCTTTTTCAACATAGGCCTGAAAGCGCTCCAAATGTCCACTTCCAGATACTACAAAAGGAGTGATTCCAACCTGCTCTATGATAGGGAATGTTCATCTCTGTGTCCTGAATACAAACATCACAAAGATGTTTCTCAGAACGCTGCAGTCTGCAATTTGGATGAATTCCCGCTTTCAACGAAATCCTCAACACTAGCCAAATATCCACTTGGAGATTCCACAAAAAGAGCGTTTCAAAACTTCTCTATGAATAGAAAGGTTCTACTCCTTTAGTTGAGGACACACATCACGAGTAAGTTTCTGAGAATGCTTCTGTCTAGTTTTTATGGGAAGATATGTCCTTTTTCACCTTAGGCCGGAAAGCGCTCCAAATGTCCACTTACACACACTACAAAAAGAGTGTTTCAAACCTGCTCTGTGAAAGGGAATGTTCAATTCTGTGACTTGAATGCAATCATCACAAAGAACTTTCTGAGAATGCTGCTGACTGCTTTTTATATGTAATCCCGTTTCCAACGAAATCCTCAAATCTAGCCCAATATCCACTTGCAGATTCCACAAAAAGAGTGTTTCAAAACTGTTCTGTCTAAAGAAATGTACAACTGTGTTAGTTGAGGACACACATCAGAAACTAGTTTCTGAGAATGCTTCTGTCTAGTTGTTATGGGAAGATATTTCCTTTTCCAACTTAGGCCTGAAAGCGCTCCAAATGTCCACTTCCATATACTAAAAAAAGAGTGTTTCAAACCTGCTCTACCAAAGGGAATGTTCTACTCTGTGACTTGAATGCAAACATGCCAAAGAAGTTTCTGAGAATGCTTCTGTCTAGATTTGATCTGAAGACAATCCCGTTTCCAACGAAATCCTCAAGGCTAGGCAAATATCCTCTTGCAGATTCCAGAAAAAGAGTGTTTCAAAACTGCTCCTTCAAAACGGTGGTTCAATTCTCTTAGTTGAGTACACACATCTCAAATAAGTTTCTGAGAATGCTTCTGCCTAGTTGTTACGGGAAGATATTTCCCTTTCCAACATAGGCCTGAAAGCGCTCCAAATGTCCACTTCCAGATACTACAAAAAGAGTGTTTCAAACCTGCTCTACCAAAGGGAATGTTCTGCTCTGTGACTTGAATGCAAACATCCCAAAGAAGTTTCTGAGAATGCTTCTGTCTAGATTTTACCTGAAGACAATCCCGTTTCCCACGAAATCCTCAAAGCTATGCAAATATCCTCTTGCAGATTCTACAAAAAGAGTGTTTCAAAACTGCTCTATGAAAAGAAAGGTTCAACTCTGTCAGTAGAGGGCACACATCACAAACAAGTTTCTGAGAATGCTTGTGTCTAGTTGTTATGGGAAGATATTTCCTTTTTCAACATAGGCCAGAAAGCGCTCCAAATGTCCACTTCCAGATACTACAAAAGGAGTGATTCCAACCTGCTCTATGATAGGGAATGTTCAACTCTCTGTCCTGAATACAAACGTCACAAAGATGTTTCTCAGAACGCTGCAGTCTGCAATTTGTATGAATTCCCGCTTCCAACGAAATCCTCAAAACTAGCCAAATATCCACTTGCAGATTCCACAAAAAGAGCATTTCAAAACTGCTCTATCAAAAGAAAGGTTCAACTTTGTTAGTTGAGTAGATACAGCATAAACAAGTTTCTGAGAATGCTTCTGTCCAGTTTTTATGGGAAGATATTTCCTTTTTCACCTTAGCCCTGAAAGCGCTTCAAAAGTCCAGTTCCAGATACTACAAAAGGGGTGTTTCAAGACTGCTCTATGAAAGGGAGTGTTCAACTTTTGACTTGAATGCAAACATCAGAAAGCAGTTTCTCAGAACGCTGCTGTGTGCTTTTTATATGTATTCCCGCTTCCAGCGAAATCCCCAAAGCTAGCCAAATATCCACTTGCAGATTCCAGAAAAAGAGTGTTTCAAAACTGCTCCTTCAAAACGGTGGTTCAATTCTCTTAGTTGAGTACACACATCTCAAATAAGTTTCTGAGAATGCTTCTGTCTAGTTGTTATGGGAAGATATTTCCTTTTCCAACATAGGCCTGAAAGCGCTCCAAATGTCCACTTCCAGATACTACAAAAGGAGTGATTCAAACCTGCTCTATGATAGGGAATGTTCAACTCTGTGTCCTGAATACAAACATCACAAAGATGTTTCTCAGAACGCTGCAGTCTGCAATTTGTATGAATTCCCGCTTCCAACGAAATCCTCAAAACTAGCCAAATATCCACTTGCAGATTCCACAAAAAGAGCGTTTCAAAACTTCTCTATGAAAAGAAAGGTTCTACTCCTTTAGTTGAGGACACACATCACGAGTAAGTTTCTGAGAATGCTTCTGTCTAGTTTTTATGGGAAGATATTTCCTTTTTCACCTTAGGCCGGTAAGTGCTCCAAATGTCCACTTACACACACTACAAAAAGAGTGTTTCAAACCTGCTCTGTGAAAGGGAATGTTCAATTCTGTGACTTGAATGCAATCATCACAAAGAACTTTCTGAGAATGCTGCTGACTGCTTTTTATATGTAATCCCGTTTCCAACGAAATCCTCAAATCTAGCCAAATAGCCACTTGCAGATTCCACAAAAAGAGTGTTTCAAAACTGTTCTGTCTAAAGAAATGTTCAACTGTGTTAGTTGAGGACACACATCAGAAACTAGTTTCTGAGAATGCTTCTGTCTAGTTGTTATGGGAAGATATTTCCTTTTCCAACGTAGGCCTGAAAGCGCTCCAAATGTCCACTTCCAGATACTACAAAAAGAGTGTTTCAAACCTGCTCTACCAAAGGGAATGTTCTACTCTGTGACTTGAATGCAAACATCCCAAAGAAGTTTCTGAGAATGCTTCTGTCTAGATTTTCTCTGAAGACAATCCCGTTTCCAACGAAATCCTCAAGGCTAGGCAAATATACTCTTGCAGATTCCAGAAAAAGAGTGTTTCAAAACTGCTCCTTCAAAACGGTGGTTCAATTCTCTTAGTTGAGTACACACATCTCAAATAAGTTTCTGAGAATGCTTCTGCCTAGTTGTTACGGGAAGATATTTCCCTTTCCAACATGGGCCTGAAAGCGCTCCAAATGTCCACTTCCAGATACTACAAAAAGAGTGTTTCAAACCTGCTCTACCAAAGGGAATGTTCTACTCTGTGACTTGAATGCAAACATCCCAAAGAAGTTTCTGAGAATGCTTCTGTCTGACGGATTTTACCTGAAGACAATCCCGTTTCCCACGAAATCCTCAAATGCTATGCAAATATCCTCTTGCAGATTCTACAAAAAGAGTGTTTCAAAACTGCTCTATGAAAAGAAAGGTTCAATTCTGTCAGTAGAGGGCACACATCACAAACAAGTTTCTGAGAATGCTTCTGCATAGTTGTTACGGGAAGATATTTCTCTTTCCAAAATAGGCCTGAAAGCGCTCCAAATGTCCACTTCCAGATACTACAAAAGGAGTGATTCCAACCTGCTCTATGATAGGGAATGTTCAACTCTGTGTCCTGAATACAAACATCACAAAGATGTTTCTCAGAACGCTGCAGTCTGCAATTTGTATGAATTCCCGCTTCCAACGAAATCCTCAAAACTAGCCAAATATCCACTTGCAGATTCCACAAAAAGACCATTTCAAAACTGCTCTATCAAAAGAAAGGTTCAACTTTGTTAGTTGAGTAGATACAGCATAAACAAGTTTCTGAGAATGCTTCTGTCCAGTTTTTATGGGAAGATATTTCCTTTTTCACCTTAGCCCTGAAATCGCTCCAAAAGTCCAGTTCCAGATACTACAAAAGGGGTGTTTCAAGACTGCTCTATGAAAGGGAGTGTTCAACTTTTGACTTGAATGCAAACATCAGAAAGCCGTTTCTCAGAACGCTGCTGTGTGCTTTTTATATGTATTCCCGCTTCCAGCGAAATCCCCAAAGCTAGCCAAATATCCACTTGCAGATTCCAGAAAAAGAGTGTTTCAAAACTGCTCCTTCAAAACGGTGGTTCAATTCTCTTAGTTGAGTACACACATCTCAAATAAGTTTCTGAGAATGCTTCTGTCTAGTTGTTATGGGAAGATATTTCCTTTTCCAACATAGGCCTGAAAGCGCTCCAAATGTCCACTTCCAGATACTACAAAAGGAGTGATTCAAACCTGCTCTATGATAGGGAATGTTCAACTCTGTGTCCTGAATACAAACATCACAAAGATGTTTCTCAGAGCGCTGCAGTCTGCAATTTGTATGAATTCCCGCTTCCAACGAAATCCTCAAAACTAGCCAAATATCCACTTGCAGATTCCACAAAAAGAGCGTTTCAAAACTTCTCTATGAAAAGAAAGGTTCTACTCCTTTAGTTGAGGACACACATCACGAGTAAGTTTCTGAGAATGCTTCTGTCTAGTTTTTATGGGAAGATATGTCCTTTTTCACCTTAGGCCGGAAAGTCGCTCCAAATGTCCACTTACACACACAACAAAAAGAGTGTTTCAAACCTGCTCTGTGAAAGGGAATGTTCAATTCTGTGACTTGAATGCAATCATCACAAAGAACTTTCTGAGAATGCTGCTGTCAGCTTTTTATATGTAATCCCGTTTCCAAAGAAATCCTCAAATCTAGCCAAATAGCCACTTGCAGATTCCACAAAAAGAGTGTTTCAAAACTGTTCTGTCTAAAGAAATGTTCAACTGTGTTAGTTGAGGACACACATCAGAAACTAGTTTCTGAGAATGCTTCTGTCTAGTTGTTATGGGAAGATATTTCCTTTTCCAACGTAGGCCTGAAAGCGCTCCAAATGTCCACTTCCATATACTAAAAAAAGAGTGTTTCAAACCTGCTCTAACAAAGGGAATGTTCTACTCTATGAATTGAATGCAAACACCCAAAGAAGTTTCTGAGAATGCTTCTGTCTAGATTTTATCTGAAGACAATCCCGTTTCCAACGAAATCCTCAAAGCTAGGCAAATATACTCTTGCAGATTCCAGAAAAAGAGTGTTTCAAAACTGCTCCTTGAAAAGGGTGGTTCAATTCTCTTAGTTGAGTACACCCATCTCAAATAAGTTTCTGAGAATGCTTCTGCCTAGTTGTTACGGGAAGATATTTCCCTTTCCAACATAGGCCTGAAAGCGCTCCAAATGTCCACTTCCAGATACTACAAAAAGAGTGTTTCAAACCTGCTCTACCAAAGGGAATGTTCTACTCTGTGACTTGAATGCAAACATCCCAAAGAAGTTTCTGAGAATGCTTCTGTCTAGATTTTTACCTGAAGACAATCCCGTTTCCCACGAAATCCTCAAAGCTATGCAAATATCCTCTTGCAGATTCTACAAAAAGAGTGTTTCAAAACTGCTCTATGAAAAGAAAGGTTCAACTCTGTCAGTAGAGGGCACACATCACAAACAAGTTTCTGAGAATGCTTCTGCATAGTTGTTACGGGAAGATATTTCCCTTTCCAAAATAGGCCTGAAAGCGCTCCAAATGTCCACTTCCAGATACTACAAAAGGAGTGATTCCAACCTGCTCTATGATAGGGAATGTTCAACTCTGTGTCCTGAATACAAACATCACAAAGATGTTTCTCAGAACGCTGCAGTCTGCAATTTGTATGAATTCCCGCTTCCAAAGAAATCCTCAAAACTAGCCAAATATCCACTTGCAGATTCCACAAAAAGACCATTTCAAAACTGCTCTATCAAAAGAAAGGTTCAACTTTGTTAGTTGAGTAGATACAGCATAAACAATTTTCTGAGAATGCTTCTGTCCAGTTTTTATGGGAAGATATTTCCTTTTTCACCTTAGCCCTGAAATCGCTCCAAAAGTCCAGTTCCAGATACTACAAAAGGGGTGTTTCAGGACTGCCCTATGAAAGGGAGTGTTCAACTTTTGACTTGAATGCAAACATCAGAAAGCAGTTTCTCAGAACGCTGCTGTCTGCTTTTTATATGTAATCCCGTTTCCAACGAAATCCCCAAAGCTAGCCAAATATCCACTTGCAGATTCCAGAAAAAGAGTGTTTCAAAACTGCTCCTTCAAAACGGTGGTTCAATTCTCTTAGTTGAGTACACACATCTCAAATAAGATTCTGAGAATGCTTCTGTCCAGTTTTTATGGGAAGATATTTCCTTTTTCACCTTAGCCCTGAAGCGCTCCAAATGTCCAGTTCCAGATACTACAAAAGGGGTGTTTCAAGACTGCTCTATGAAAGGGAGTGTTCAACTTTTGACTTGAATGCAAACATCAGAAAGCAGTTTCTCAGAACGCTTCTCTCTAGATTTTATATGAAGATATTCCCGTTTCCAACGAAATCCACAAAGCTATCGAAATATCCACTTGCAGATTCTACAAAAAGAGTGTTTCAAAACTGCTCTATGAAAAGAAAGGTTCTACCCCTTTAGTTGAGGACACACATCACGAGTAAGTTTCTGAGAATGCTTCTGTCTAGTTTTTATGGGAAGATATTTCCTTTTTCACCTGAGGCCGGAAAGCGCTCCAAATGTCCACTTACAGACACTACAAAAAGAGTGTTTCAAACCTGCTCTATGAAAGGGAATGTTCAATTCTGTGACTGGAATGCAATCATCACAAAGAAGTTTCTGAGAATGCTGCAGTCTGCAATTTGTATGAATTCCCGCTTCCAACGAAAGCCTCAAAACTAGCCAAATATCCACTTGCAGATTCCACAAAAAGAGCGTTTCAAAACTTCTCTATGAAAAGAAAGGTTCTACTCCTTTAGTTGAGGACACACATCACGAGTAAGTTTCTGAGAATGCTTCTGTCTAGTTTTTATGGGAAGATATTTCCTTGTTCACCTTAGGCCGGAAAGCGCTCCAAATGTCCACTTACACACACTACAAAAAGAGTGTTTCAAACCTGCTCTGTGAAAGGGAATGTTCAATTCTGTGACTTGAATGCAATCATCACAAAGAAGTTTCTGAGAATGCTGCTGTCTGCTTTTTATATGTAATCCCGTTTCCAACGAAATCCTCAAATCTAGCCCAATATCCACTTGCAGATTCCACAAAAAGAGTGTTTCAAAACTGTTCTGTATAAAGAAATGTACAACTGTGTTAGTTGAGGACACACATCACAAACTAGTTTCTGAGAATGCTTCTGTCTAGTTGTTATGGGAAGATATTTCCTTTTCCAACGTAGGCCTGAAAGCGCTCCAAATGTCCACTTCCATATACTAAAAAAAGAGTGTTTCAAACCTGCTCTACCAAAGGGAATGTTCTACTCTGTGACTTGAATGCAAACATCCCAAAGAAGTTTCTGAGAATGCTTCTGTCTAGATTTTATCTGAAGACAATCCCGTTTCCAACGAAATCCTCAAGGCTAGGCAAATATACTCTTGCAGATTCCAGAAAAAGAGTGTTTCAAAACTGCTCCTTCAAAACGGTGGTTCAATTCTCTTAGTTGAGTACACACATCTCAAATAAGTTTCTGAGAATGCTTCTGCATAGTTGTTACGGGAAGATATTTCCCTTTCCAAAATAGGCCTGAAAGCGCTCCAAATGTCCACTTCCAGATACTACAAAAGGAGTGATTCCAACCTGCTCTATGATAGGGAATGTTCAACTCTGTGTCCTGAATACAAACATCACAAAGATGTTTCTCAGAACGCTGCAGTCTGCAATTTGTATGAATTCCCGCTTCCAACGAAATCCTCAAAACTAGCCAAATATCCACTTGCAGATTCCACAAAAAGACCATTTCAAAACTGCTCTATCAAAAGAAAGGTTCAACTTTGTTAGTTGAGTAGATACAGCATAAACAAGTTTCTGAGAATGCTTCTGTCCAGTTTTTATGGGAAGATATTTCCTTTTTCACCTTAGCCCTGAAATCGCTCCAAAAGTCCAGTTCCAGATACTACAAAAGGGGTGTTTCAAGACTGCTCTATGAAAGGGAGTGTTCAACTTTTGACTTGAATGCAAACATCAGAAAGCAGTTTCTCAGAACGCTGCTGTGTGCTTTTTATATGTATTCCCGCTTCCAGCGAAATCCCCAAAGCTAGCCAAATATCCACTTGCAGATTCCAGAAAAAGAGTGTGTCAAAACTGCTCCTTCAAAACGGTGGTTCAATTCTCTTAGTTGAGTACACACATCTCAAATAAGTTTCTGAGAATGCTTCTGCATAGTTGTTACGGGAAGATATTTCCCTTTCCAAAATAGGCCTGAAAGCGCTCCAAATGTCCACTTCCAGATACTACAAAAGGAGTGATTCCAACCTGCTCTATGATAGGGAATGTTCAACTCTGTGTCCTGAATACAAACATCACAAAGATGTTTCTCAGAACGCTGCAGTCTGCAATTTGTATGAATTCCCGCTTCCAACGAAATCCTCAAAACTAGCCAAATATCCACTTGCAGATTCCACAAAAAGACCATTTCAAAACTGCTCTATCAAAAGAAAGGTTCAACTTTGTTAGTTGAGTAGATACAGCATAAACAAGTTTCTGAGAATGCTTCTGTCCAGTTTTTATGGGAAGATATTTCCTTTTTCACCTTAGCCCTGAAATCGCTCCAAAAGTCCAGTTCCAGATACTACAAAAGGGGTGTTTCAAGACTGCTCTATGAAAGGGAGTGTTCAACTTTTGACTTGAATGCAAACATCAGAAAGCAGTTTCTCAGAACGCTTCTGTCTAGATTTTACCTGAAGACAATCCCGTTTCCCACGAAACCCTCAAAGCTATGCAAATATCCTCTTGCAGATTCTACAAAAAGAGTGTTTCAAAACTGCTCTATGAAAAGAAAGGTTCAACTCTGTCAGTAGAGGGCACACATCACAAACAAGTTTCTGAGAATGTCTAGTGTCTAGTTGTTATGGGAAGATATTTCCTTTTTCAACATAGGCCTGAAAGCGCTCCAAATGTCCACTTCCAGATACTACAAAAGGAGTGATTCCAACCTGCTCTATGATAGGGAATGTTCAACTCTCTGTCCTGAATACAAACATCACAAAGATGTTTCTCAGAACGCTGCAGTCTGCAATTTGTATGAATTCCAGCTTCCAACGTTATCCTCAAAACTAGCCAAATATCCACTTGCAGATTCCACAAAAAGAGCGTTTCAAAACTTCTCTATGAAAAGAAAGGTTCTACTCCTTTAGTTGAGGACACACATCACGAGTAAGTTTCTGAGAATGCTTCTGTCTAGTTTTTAAGGGAAGATATTTCCTTTTTCACCTTAGGCCGGAAAGTGCTCCAAATGTCCACTTACACACACTACAAAAAGAGTGTTTCAAACCTGCTCTGTGAAAGGGAATGTTCAATTCTGTGACTTGAATGCAATCATCACAAAGAACTTTCTGAGAATGCTGCTGACTGCTTTTTATATGTAATCCCGTTTCCAACGAAATCCTCAAATCTAGCCAAATAGCCACTTGCAGATTCCACAAAAAGAGTGTTTCATAACTGTTCTGTCTAAAGAAATGTACAACTGTGTTAGTT
Source organism: Homo sapiens (assembly GCF_000001405.40). Taxonomy (NCBI): domain Eukaryota; kingdom Metazoa; phylum Chordata; class Mammalia; order Primates; family Hominidae; genus Homo; species Homo sapiens. The sequence continues at coordinate 18,653,615 of NC_000018.10, read as the reverse complement.
GAGGACACACATCAGAAACTAGTTTCTGAGAATGCTTCTGTCTAGTTGTTATGGGAAGATATTTCCTTTTCCAACGTAGGCCTGAAAGCGCTCCAAATGTCCACTTCCATATACGAAAAAAAGATTGTTTCAAACCTGCTCTACCAAAGGGAATGTTCTACTCTGTGACTTGAATGCAAACATCCCAAAGAAGTTTCTGAGAATGCTTCTGTCTACATTTTATCTGAAGACAATCCCGTTTCCAACGAAATCCTCAAGGCTAGGCAAATATACTCTTGCAGATTCCAGAAAAAGAGTGTTTCAAAACTGCTCCTTCAAAACGGTGGTTCAATTCTCTTAGTTGAGTACACACATCTCAAATATGTTTCTGAGAATGCTTCTGCCTAGTTGTTACGGGAAGATATTTCCCTTTCCAACATGGGCCTGAAAGCGCTCCAAATGTCCACTTCCAGATACTACAAAAAGAGTGTTTCAAACCTGCTCTACCAAAGGGAATGTTCTACTCTGTGACTTGAATGCAAACATCCCAAAGAAGTTTCTGAGAATGCTTCTGTCTAGATTTTACCTGAAGACAATCCCGTTTCCCACGAAATCCTCAAAGCTATGCAAATATCCTCTTGCGGATTCTACAAAAAGAGTGTTTCAAAACTGCTCTATGAAAAGAAAGGTTCAACTCTGTCAGTAGAGGGCACACATCACAAACAACTTTCTGAGAATCCTTGTGTCTAGTTGTTATGGGAAGATATTTCCTTTTTCAACATAGGCCTGAAAGCGCTCCAAATGTCCACTTCCAGATACTACAAAAGGAGTGATTCCAACCTGCTCTATGATAGGGAATGTTCATCTCTGTGTCCTGAATACAAACATCACAAAGATGTTTCTCAGAACGCTGCAGTCTGCAATTTGGATGAATTCCCGCTTCCAACGAAATCCTCAAAACTAGCCAAATATCGACTTGGAGATTCCACAAAAAGAGCGTTTCAAAACTTCTCTATGAATAGAAAGGTTCTACTCCTTTAGTTGAGGACACACATCACGAGTAAGTTTCTGAGAATGCTTCTGTCTAGTTTTTATGGGAAGATATTTCCTTTTTCACCTTAGGCCGGAAAGCGCTCCAAATGTCCACTTACACACACTACAAAAAGAGTGTTTCAAACCTGCTCTGTGAAAGGGAATGTTCAATTCTGTGACTTGAATGCAATCATCACAAAGAACTTTCTGAGAATGCTGCTGTCTGCTTTTTATATGTAATCCTGTTTCCAACGAAATCCTCAAATCTAGCCCAATATCCACTTGCAGATTCCACAAAAAGAGTGTTTCAAAACTGTTCTGTATAAAGAAATGTACAACTGTGTTAGTTGAGGACACACATCAGAAACTAGTTTCTGAGAATGCTTCTGTCTAGTTGTTATGGGAAGATATTTCCTTTTCCAACGTAGGCCTGAAAGCGCTCCAAATGTCCACTTCCATATACTAAAAAAAGAGTGTTTCAAACCTGCTCTACCAAAGGGAATGTTCTACTCTGTGACTTGAATGCAAACATCCCAAAGAAGTTTCTGAGAATGCTTCTGTCTAGATTTTCTCTGAAGACAATGCCGTTTCCAACGAAATCCTCAAGGCTAGGCAAATATACTCTTGCAGATTCCAGAAAAAGAGTGTTTCAAAACTGCTCCTTCAAAACGGTGGTTCAATTCTCTTAGTTGAGTACACACATCTCCAATAAGTTTCTGAGAATGCTTCTGCCTAGTTGTTACGGGAAGATATTTCCCTTTCCAACATGGGCCTGAAAGCGCTCCAAATGTCCACTTCCAGATACTACAAAAAGAGTGTTTCAAACCTGCTCTACCAAAGGGAATGTTCTACTCTGTGACTTGAATGCAAACATCCCAAAGAAGTTTCTGAGAATGCTTCTGTCTAGATTTTACCTGAAGACAATCCCGTTTCCCACGAAATCCTCAAAGCTATGCAAATATCCTCTTGCAGATTCTACAAAAAGAGTGTTTCAAAACTGCTCTATGAAAAGAAAGGTTCAACTCTGTCAGTGGAGGGCACACATCACAAACAAGTTTCTGAGAACGCTTGTGTCTAGTTGTTATGGGAAGATATTTCCTTTTTCAACATAGGCCTGAAAGCGCTCCAAATGTCCACTTCCAGATACTACAAAAGGAGTGATTCCAACATGCTCTATGATAGGGAATGTTCATCTCTGTGTCTTGAATACAAACATCACAAAGATGTTTCTCAGAACGCTGCAGTCTGCAATTTGTATGAATTCCCGCTTCCAACGAAATCCTCAAAACTAGCCAAATATCCACTTGGAGATTCCACAAAAAGAGCGTTTCAAAACTTCTCCATGAATAGAAAGTTTCCACTCCTTTAGGTGAGGACACACATCACGAGTAAGTTTCTGAGAATGCTTCTGTCTAGTTTTTATGGGAAGATATGTCCTTTTTCACCTTAGGCCGGAAAGCGCTCCAAATGTCCACTTACACACACTACAAAAAGAGTGTTTCAAACCTGCTCTGTGAAAGGGAATGTTCAATTCTGTGACTTGAATGCAATCATCACAAAGAACTTTCTGAGAATGCTGCTGTCTGCTTTTTATATGTAATCCCGTTTCCAACGAAATCCTCAAATCTAGCCAAATAGCCACTTGCAGATTCCACAAAAAGAGTGTTTCAAAACTGTTCTTTCTAAAGAAAAGTTCAACTGTGTTAGTTGAGGACACACATCAGAAACTAGTTTCTGAGAATGCTTCTGTCTAGTTGTTATGGGAAGATATTTCCTTTTCCAACGTAGGCCTGAAAGCGCTCCAAATGTCCACTTCCATATACTAAAAAAAGAGTGTTTCAAACCTGCTCTACCAAAGGGAATGTTCTACTCTGTGACTTGAATGCAAACATCCCAAAGAAGTTTCTGAGAATGCTTCTGTCTAGATTTGATCTGAAGACAATCCCGTTTCCAACGAAATCCTCAAGGCTAGGCAAATATCCTCTTGCAGATTCCAGAAAAAGAGTGTTTCAAAACTGCTCCTTCAAAACGGTGGTTCAATTCTCTTAGTTGAGTACACACATCTCAAATAAGTTTCTGAGAATGCTTCTGCCTAGTTGTTACGGGAAGATATTTCCCTTTCCAACATAGGCCTGAAAGCGCTCCAAATGTCCACTTCCAGATACTACAAAAAGAGTGTTTCAAACCTGCTCTACCAAAGGGAATGTTCTGCTCTGTGACTTGAATGCAAACATCCCAAAGAAGTTTCTGAGAATGCTTCTGTCTAGATTTTACCTGAAGACAATCCCGTTTCCCACGAAATCCTCAAAGCTATGCAAATATCCTCTTGCAGATTCTACAAAAAGAGTGTTTCAAAACTGCTCTATGAAAAGAAAGGTTCAACTCTGTCAGTAGAGGGCACACATCACAAACAAGTTTCTGAGAATGCTTCTGCATAGTTGTTACGGGAAGATATTTCCCTTTCCAAAATAGGCCTGAAAGCGCTCCAAATGTCCACTTCCAGATACTACAAAAGGAGTGATTCCAACCTGCTCTATGATAGGGAATGTTCAACTCTGTGTCCTGAATACAAACATCACAAAGATGTTTCTCAGAACGCTGCAGTCTGCAATTTGTATGAATTCCCGCTTCCAACGAAATCCTCAAAACTAGCCAAATATCCACTTGCAGATTCCACAAAAAGACCATTTCAAAACTGCTCTATCAAAAGAAAGGTTCAACTTTGTTAGTTGAGTAGATACAGCATAACCAAGTTTCTGAGAATGCTTCTGTCCAGTTTTTATGGGAAGATATTTCCTTTTTCACCTTAGCCCTGAAATCGCTCCAAAAGTCCAGTTCCAGATACTACAAAAGGGGTGTTTCAAGACTGCTCTATGAAAGGGAGTGTTCAACTTTTGACTTGAATGCAAACATCAGAAAGCAGTTTCTCAGAACGCTGCTGTGTGCTTTTTATATGTATTCCCGCTTCCAGCGAAATCCCCAAAGCTAGCCAAATATCCACTTGCAGATTCCAGAAAAAGAGAGTTTCAAAACTGCTCCTTCAAAACGGTGGTTCAATTCTCTTAGTTGAGTACACACATCTCAAATAAGTTTCTGAGAATGCTTCTGTCTAGTTGTTATGGGAAGATATTTCCTTTTTCAACATAGGCCTGAAAGCGCTCCAAATGTCCACTTCCAGATACTACAAAAGGAGTGATTCCAACCTGCTCTATTATAGGGAATGTTCAACTCTGTGTCCTGAATACAAACATCACAAAGATGTTTCTCAGAACGCTGCAGTCTGCAATTTGTATGAATTCCCGCTTCCAACGAAATCCTCCAAACTAGCCAAATATCCACTTGCAGATTCCACAAAAAGAGCGTTTCAAAACTTCTCTATGAAAAGAAAGGTTCTACTCCTTTAGTTGAGGACACACATCACGAGTAAGTTTCTGAGAATGCTTCTGTCTAGTTTTTATGGGAAGATATTTCCTTTTTCACCTTAGGCCGGTAAGTGCTCCAAATGTCCACTTACACACACTACAAAAAGAGTGTTTCAAACCTGCTCTGTGAAAGGGAATGTTCAATTCTGTGACTTGAATGCAATCATCACAAAGAACTTTCTGAGAATGCTGCTGACTGCTTTTTATATGTAATCCCGTTTCCAACGAAATCCTCAAATCTAGCCAAATAGCCACTTGCAGATTCCACAAAAAGAGTGTTTCAAAACTGTTCTGTCTAAAGAAATGTTCAACTGTGTTAGTTGAGGACACACATCAGAAACTAGTTTCTGAGAATGCTTCTGTCTAGTTGTTATGGGAAGATATTTCCTTTTCCAACGTAGGCCTGAAAGCGCTCCAAATGTCCACTTCCATATACTAAAAAAAGAGTGTTTCAAACCTGCTCTACCAAAGGGAATGTTCTACTCTGTGACTTGAATGCAAACATCCCAAAGAAGTTTCTGAGAATGCTTCTGTCTAGATTTTATCTGAAGACAATCCCGTTTCCAACGAAATTCTCAAGGCTAGGCAAATATACTCTTGCAGATTCCAGAAAAAGAGTGTTTCAAAACTGCTCCTTCAAAACGGTGGTTCAATTCTCTTAGTTGAGTACACACATCTCAAATAAGTTTCTGAGAATGCTTCTGCCTAGTTGTTACGGGAAGATATTTCCCTTTCCAACATGGGCCTGAAAGCGCTCCAAATGTCCACTTCCAGATACTACAAAAAGAGGGTTTCAAACCTGCTCTACCAAAGGGAATGTTCTACTCTGTGACTTGAATGCAAACATCCCAAAGAAGTTTCTGAGAATGCTTCTGTCTAGATTTTACCTGAACACAATCCCGTTTCCCACGAAATCCTCAAAGCTATGCAAATATCCTCTTGCAGATTCTACAAAAAGAGTGTTTCAAAACTGCTCTATGAAAAGAAAGGTTCAACTCTGTCAGCAGAGGGCACACATCACAAACAAGTTTCTGAGAATGCTTGTGTCTAGTTGTTATGGGAAGATATTTCCTTTTTCAACATAGGCCTGAAAGCGCTCCAAATGTCCACTTCCAGATACTACAAAAGGAGTGATTCCAACCTGCTCTATGATAGGGAATGTTCAACTCTGTGTCCTGAATACAAACATCACAAAGATGTTTCTCAGAACGCTGCAGTCTGCAATTTGTATGAATTCCAGCTTCCAACGAAATCCTGAAATCTAGCCAAATATCCACTTGCAGATTCCACAAAAAGAGCATTTCAAAACTGCTCTATCAAAAGAAAGGTTCAACTTTGTTAGTAGAGTAGATACAGCATAAACAAGTTTCTGAGAATGCTTCTGTCCAGTTTTTATGGGAAGATATTTCCTTTTTCACCTTAGCCCTGAAAGCGCTCCAAAAGTCCAGTTCCAGATACTACAAAAGGAGTGTTTCAGGACTGCTCTATGAAAGGGAGTGTTCAACTTTTGACTTGAATGCAAACATCAGAAAGCAGTTTCTCAGAACGCTGCTGTGTGCTTTTTATATGTATTCCCGCTTCCAGCGAAATCCCCAAAGCTAGCCAAATATCCACTTGCAGATTCCAGAAAAAGAGTGTTTCAAAACTGCTCCTTCAAAACGGTGGTTCAATTCTCTTAGTTGAGTACACACATCTCAAATAAGTTTCTGAGAATGCTGCAGTCTGCAATTTGTATGAATTCCGGCTTCCAACGAAAATCCTCAAAACTAGCCAAATATCCACTTGCAGATTCCACAAAAAGAGCATTTCAAAACTGCTCTATCAAAAGAAAGGTTCAACTTTGTTAGTTGAGTAGATACAGCATAAACAAGTTTCTGAGAATGCTTCTGTCCAGTTTTTATGGGAAGATATTTCCTTTTTCACCTTAGCCCTGAAAGCGCTCCAAAAGTCCAGTTCCAGATACTACAAAAGGAGTGTTTCAGGACTGCTCTATGAAAGGGAGTGTTCAACTTTTGACTTGAATGCAAACATCAGAAAGCAGTTTCTCAGAACCCTGCTGTGTGCTTTTTATATGTATTCCCGCTTCCAGCGAAATCCCCAAAGCTAGCCAAATATCCACTTGCAGATTCCAGAAAAAGAGTGTTTCAAAACTGCTCCTTCAAAACGGTGGTTCAATTCTCTTAGTTGAGTACACACATCTCAAATAAGTTTCTGAGAATGCTGCTGTGTGCTTTTTATATGTATTCCCGCTTCCAGCGAAATCCCCAAAGCTAGCCAAATATCCACTTGCAGATTCCAGAAAAAGAGAGTTTCAAAACTGCTCCTTCAAAACGGTGGTTCAATTCTACTTAGTTGAGTACACACATCTCAAATAAGTTTCTGAGAATGCTTCTGTCTAGTTGTTATGGGAAGATATTTCCTTTTCCAACATAGGCCTGAAAGCGCTCCAAATGTCCACTTCCAGATACTACAAAAGGAGTGATTCAAACCTGCTCTATGATAGGGAATGTTCAACTCTGTGTCCTGAATACAAACATCACAAAGATGTTTCTCAGAACGCTGCAGTCTGCAATTTGTATGAATTCCCGCTTCCAACGAAATCCTCAAAACTAGCCAAATATCCACTTGCAGATTCCACAAAAAGAGCGTTTCAAAACTTCTCTATGAAAAGAAAGGTTCTACTCCTTTAGTTGAGGACACACATCACGAGTAAGTTTCTGAGAATGCTTCTGTCTAGTTTTTATGGGAAGATATTTCCTTTTTCACCTTAGGCCGGAAAGTGCTCCAAATGTCCACTTACACACACTACAAAAAGAGTGTTTCAAACCTGCTCTGTGAAAGGGAATGTTCAATTCTGTGACTTGAATGCAATCATCACAAAGAAGTTTCTGAGAATGCTGCTGTCTGCTTTTTATATGTAATCCCGTTTCCAACGAAATCCTCAAATCTAGCCAAATATCCACTTGCAGATTCCACAAAAAGAGTGTTTCAAAACTGTTCTGTCTAAAGAAATATTCAACTGTGTTAGTTGAGGACACACATCAGAAACTAGTTTCTGAGAATGCTTCTGTCTAGTTGTTATGGGAAGATATTTCCTTTTCCAACGTAGGCCTGAAAGCGCTCCAAATGTCCACTTCCATATACTAAAAAAAGAGTGTTTCAAACCTGCTCTACCAAAGGGAATGTTCTACTCTGTGACATGAATGCAAACATCCCAAAGAAGTTTCTGAGAATGCTTCTGTCTAGATTTGATCTGAAGACAATCCCGTTTCCAACGAAATCCTCAAGGCTAGGCAAATATCCTCTTGCAGATTCCAGAAAAAGAGTGTTTCAAAACTGCTCCTTCAAAACGGTGGTTCAATTCTCTTAGTTGAGTACACACATCTCAAATAAGTTTCTGAGAATGCTTCTGCCTAGTTGTTACGGGAAGATATTTCCCTTTCCAACATAGGCCTGAAAGCGCTCCAAATGTCCACTTCCAGATACTACAAAAAGAGTGTTTCAAACCTGCTCTACCAAAGGGAATGTTCTGCTCTGTGACTTGAATGCAAACATCCCAAAGAAGTTTCTGAGAATGCTTCTGTCTAGATTTTACCTGAAGACAATCCCGTTTCCCACGAAATCCTCAAAGCTATGCAAATATCCTCTTGCAGATTCTACAAAAAGAGTGTTTCAAAACTGCTCTATGAAAAGAAAGGTTCAACTCTGTCAGTAGAGGGCACACATCACAAACAAGTTTCTGAGAATGCTTGTGTCTAGTTGTTATGGGAAGATATTTCCTTTTTCAACATAGGCCTGAAAGCGCTCCAAATGTCCACTTCCAGATACTACAAAAGGAGTGATTCCAACCTGCTCTATGATAGGGAATGTTCAACTCTCTGTCCTGAATACAAACATCACAAAGATGTTTCTCAGAACGCTGCAGTCTGCAATTTGTATGAATTCCAGCTTCCAACGAAATCCTCAAAACTAGCCAAATATCCACTTGCAGATTCCACAAAAAGAGCATTTCAAAACTGCCCTATCAAAAGAAAGGTTCAACTTTGTTAGTAGAGTAGATACAGCATAAACAAGTTTCTGAGAATGCTTCTGTCCAGTTTTTATGGGAAGATATTTCCTTTTTCAACTTAGCCCTGAAAGCGCTCCAAAAGTCCAGTTCCAGATACTACAAAAGGAGTGTTTCAGGACTGCTCTATCAAAGGGAGTGTTCAACTTTTGACTTGAATGCAAACATCAGAAAGCAGTTTCTCAGAACGCTGCTGTGTGCTTTTTATATGTATTCCCGCCTCCAGCGAAATCCCCAAAGCTAGCCAAATATCCACTTGCAGATTCCAGAAAAAGAGTGTTTCAAAACTGCTCCTTCAAAACGGTGGTTCAATTCTCTTAGTTGAGTACACACATCTCAAATAAGTTTCTGAGAATGCTTCTGTCTAGTTGTTATGGGAAGATATTTCCTTTTCCAACATAGGCCTGAAAGCGCTCCAAATGTCCACTTCCAGATACTACAAAAGGAGTGATTCCAACCTGCTCTATGATAGGGAATGTTCAACTCTGTGTCCTGAATACAAACATCACAAAGATGTTTCTCAGAACGCTGCAGTCTGCAATTTGTATGAATTCCCGCTTCCAACGAAATCCTCAAAACTAGCCAAATATCCACTTGCAGATTCCACAAAAAGAGCGTTTCAAAACTTCTCTATGAAAAGAAAGGTTCTACTCCTTTAGTTGAGGACACACATCACGAGTAAGTTTCTGAGAATGCTTCTGTCTAGTTTTTATGGGAAGATATTTCCTTTTTCACCTTAGGACGGAAAGCGCTCCAAATGTCCACTTACACATACTACAAAAAGTGTGTTTCAAACCTGCTCTGTGAAAGGGAATGTTCAATTCTGTGACTTGAATACAATCATCACAAAGAACTTTCTGAGAATGCTGCTGACTGCTTTTTATATGTAATCCCGTTTCCAACGAAATCCTCAAATCTAGCCAAATATCCACTTGCAGATTCCACAAAAAGAGTGTTTCAAAACTGTTCTGTCTAAAGAAATGTACAACTGTGTTAGTTGAGGACACACATCAGAAACTAGTTTCTGAGAATGCTTCTGTCTAGTTGTTATGGGAAGATATTTCCTTTTCCAACGTAGGCCTGAAAGCGCTCCAAATGTCCACTTCCATATACTAAAAAAAGAGTGTTTCAAACCTGCTCTACCAAAGGGAATGTTCTACTCTGTGACTTGAATGCAAACATCCCAAAGAAGTTTCTGAGAATGCTTCTGTCTAGATTTGATCTGAAGACAATCCCGTTTCCAACGAAATCCTCAAAGCTAGGCAAATATCCTCTTGCAGATTCCAGAAAAAGAGTGTTTCAAAACTGCTCCTTCAAAACGGTGGTTCAATTCTCTTAGTTGAGTACACACATCTCCAATAAGTTTCTGAGAATGCTTCTGCCTAGTTGTTACGGGAAGATATTTCCCTTTCCAACATAGGCCTGAAAGCGCTCCAAATGTCCACTTCCAGATACTATAAAAAGAGTGTTTCAAACCTGCTCTACCAAAGGGAATGTTCTACTCTGTGACTTGAATGCAAACATCCCAAAGAAGTTTCTGAGAATGCTTCTGTCTAGATTGTACCTGAAGACAATCCCGTTTCCCACGAAATCCTCAAAGCTATGCAAATATCCTCTTGCAGATTCTACAAAAAGAGTGTTTCAAAACTGCTCTATGAAAAGAAAGGTTCAACTCTGTCAGTAGAGGGCACACATCACAAACAAGTTTCTCAGAATGCTTGTGTCTAGTTGTTATGGGAAGATATTTCCTTTTTCAACATAGGCCTGAAAGCGCTCCAAATGTCCACTTCCAGATACTACAAAAGGAGTGATTCCAACCTGCTCTATGATAGGGAATGTTCAACTCTCTGTCCCTGAGTACAAACATCACAAAAATGTTTCTCAGAACGCTGCTGTCTGCTTTTTATATGTAATCACGTTTCCAACGAAATCCTAAAATCTAGCCAAATATCCACTTGCAGATTCCACAAAAAGAGTGTTTCAAAACTGCTCTATCAAAAGAAAGGTTCAACTTTGTTAGCTGAGTAGATACAGCATAAACAAGTTTCTGAGAATGCTTCTGTCCAGTTTTTATGGGAAGATATTTCCTTTTTCACCTTAGCCCTGAAAGCACTCCAAATGTCCACTTCCAGATACCACAAAAGGGGAGTTTCAAGACTGCTCTATGAAAGGGAGTGTTCAACTTTTGACTTGAATGCGAACATCAGAAAGAAGTTTCTCAGAACGCTGCTGTGTGCTTTTTATATGTATTCCCGCTTCCAGCGAAATCCCCAAAGCTAGCCAAATATCCAATTGCAGATTCCAGAAAAAGAGTGTTTCAAAACTGCTCCTTCAAAACGGTGGTTCAATTCTCTTAGTTGAGTACACACATCTCAAATAAGTTTCTGAGAATGCTTCTGTCTAGTTGTTATGGGAAGATATTTCCTTTTCCAACATAGGCCTGAAAGCGCTCCAAATGTCCACTTCCAGATACTACAAAAGGAGTGATTCCAACCTGCTCTATGATAGGGAATGTTCAACTCTGTGTCCTGAATACAAACATCACAAAGATGTTTCTCAGAACGCTGCAGTCTGCAATTTGTATGAATTCCCGCTTCCAACGAAATCCTCCAAACTAGCCAAATATCCACTTGCAGATTCCGCAAAAAGAGCGTTTCAAAACTTCTCTATGAAAAGAAAGGTTCTACTCCTTTAGTTGAGGACACACATCACGAGTAAGTTTCTGAGAGTGCTTCTGTCTAGTTTTTATGGGAAGATATTTCCTTTTTCACCTTAGGCCGGTAAGTGCTCCAAATGTCCACTTACACACACTACAAAAAGAGTGTTTCAAACCTGCTCTGTGAAAGGGAATGTTCAATTCTGTGACTTGAATGCAATCATCACAAAGAACTTTCTGAGAATGCTGCTGACTGCTTTTTATATGTAATCCCGTTTCCAACGAAATCCTCAAATCTAGCCAAATAGCCACTTGCAGATTCCACAAAAAGAGTGTTTCAAAACTGTTCTGTCTAAAGAAATGTTCAACTGTGTTAGTTGAGGACACACATCAGAAACTAGTTTCTGAGAATGCTTCTGTCTAGTTGTTATGGGAAGATATTTCCTTTTCCAACGTAGGCCTGAAAGCACTCCAAATGTCCACTTCCATATACTAAAAAAAGAGTGTTTCAAACCTGCTCTACCAAAGGGAATGTTCTACTCTGTGACTTGAATGCAAACATCCCAAAGAAGTTTCTGAGAATGCTTCTGTCTAGATTTGATCTGAAGACAATCCCGTTTCCAACGAAATCCTCAAGGCTAGGCAAATATCCTCTTGCAGATTCCAGAAAAAGAGTGTTTCAAAACTGCTCCTTCAAAACGGTGGTTCAATTCTCTTAGTTGAGTACACACATCTCAAATAAGTTTCTGAGAATGCTTCTGCCTAGTTGTTACGGGAAGATATTTCCCTTTCCAACATAGGCCTGAAAGCGCTCCAAATGTCCACTTCCAGATACTACAAAAAGAGTGTTTCAAACCTGCTCTACCAAAGGGAATGTTCTACTCTGTGACTTGAATGCAAACATCCCAAAGAAGTTTCTGAGAATGCTTCTGTCTAGATTTTACCTGAAGACAATCCCGTTTCCCACGAAATCCTCAAAGCTATGCAAATATCCTCTTGCAGATTCTACAAAAAGAGTGTTTCAAAACTGCTCTATGAAAAGAAAGGTTCAACTCTGTCAGTAGAGGGCACACATCACAAACAAGTTTCTGAGAATGCTTGTGTCTAGTTGTTATGGGAAGATATTTCCTTTTTCAACATAGGCCTGAAAGCGCTCCAAATGTCCACTTCCAGATACTACAAAAGGAGTGATTCGAACCTGCTCTATGATAGGGAATGTTCCTCTCTGTGTCCTGAATACAAACATCACAAAGATGTTTCTCAGAACGCTTGCAGTCTGCAATTTGTATGTATTCCAGCTTCCAACGAAATCCTCAAAACTAGCCAAATATCCACTTGCAGATTCCACAAAAAGAGCATTTCAAAACTGCTCTATCAAAAGAAAGGTTCAACTTTTTTAGTAGAGTAGATACAGCATAAACAAGTTTCTGAGAATGCTTCTGTCCAGTTTTTATGGGAAGATATTTCCTTTTTCACCTTAGCCCTGAAAGCGCTCCAAAAGTCCAGTTCCAGATACTACAAAAGGAGTGTTTCAGGACTGCTCTATGAAAGGGAGTGTTCAACTTTTGACTTGAATGCAAACATCAGAAAGCAGTTTCTCAGAACGCTGCTGTGGGCTTTTTATATGTATTCCCGCTTCCAGCGAAATCCCCAAAGCTAGCCAAATATCCACTTGCAGATTCCAGAAAAAGAGTGTTTCAAAACTGCTCCTTCAAAACGGTGGTTCAATTCTCTTAGTTGAGTACACACATCTCAAATAAGTTTCTGAGAATGCTTCTGTCTAGTTGTTATGGGAAGATATTTCCTTTTCCAACATAGGCCTGAAAGCGCTCCAAATGTCCACTTCCAGATACTACAAAAGGAGTGATTCAAACCTGCTCTATGATAGGGAATGTTCAACTCTGTGTCCTGAATACAAACATCACAAAGATGTTTCTCAGAACGCTGCAGTCTGCAATTTGTATGAATTCCCGCTTCCAACGAAATCCTCAAAACTAGCCAAATATCCACTTGCAGATTCCACAAAAAGAGCGTTTCAAAACTTCTCTATGAAAAGAAAGGTTCTACTCCTTTAGTTGAGGACACACATCACGAGTAAGTTTGCTGAGAATGCTTCTGTCTAGTTTTTATGGGAAGATATTTCCTTTTTCACCTTAGGCCGGTAAGTGCTCCAAATGTCCACTTACACACACTACAAAAAGAGTGTTTCAAACCTGCTCTGTGAAAGGGAATGTTCAATTCTGTGACTTGAATGCAATCATCACAAAGAACTTTCTGAGAATGCTGCTGTCTGCTTTTTATATGTAATCCCGTTTCTAACGAAATCCTCAAATCTAGCCAAATAGCCACTTGCAGATTCCACAAAAAGAGTGTTTCAAAACTGTTCTGTCTAAAGAAATGTTCAACTGTGTTAGTTGAGGACACACATCAGAAACTAGTTTCTGAGAATGCTTCTGTCTAGTTGTTATGGGAAGATATTTCCTTTTCCAACGTAGGCCTGAAAGCGCTCCAAATGTCCACTTCCATATACTAAAAAAAGAGTGTTTCAAACCTGCTCTACCAAAGGGAATGTTCTACTCTGTGACTTGAATGCAAACATCCCAAAGAAGTTTCTGAGAATGCTTCTGTCTAGATTTGATCTGAAGACAATCCCGTTTCCAACGAAATCCTCAAGGCTAGGCAAATATCCTCTTGCAGATTCCAGAAAAAGAGTGTTTCAAAACTGCTCCTTCAAAACGGTGGTTCAATTCTCTTAGTTGAGTACACACATCTCAAATAAGTTTTTGAGAATGCTTCTGCCTAGTTGTTACGGGAAGATATTTCCCTTTCCAACATAGGCCTGAAAGCGCTCCAAATGTCCACTTCCAGATACTACAAAAAGAGTGTTTCAAACCTGCTCTACCAAAGGGAATGTTCTACTCTGTGACTTGAATGCAAACATCCCAAAGAAGTTTCTGAGAATGCTTCTGTCTAGATTTTACCTGAAGACAATCCCGTTTCCCACGAAATCCTCAAAGCTATGCAAATATCCTCTTGCAGATTCTACAAAAAGAGTGTTTCAAAACTGCTCTATGAAAAGAAAGGTTCAACTCTGTCAGTAGATGGCACACATCACAAACAAGTTTCTGAGAATGCTTGTGTCTAGTTGTTATGGGAAGATATTTCCTTTTTCAACATAGGCCTGAAAGCGCTCCAAATGTCCACTTCCAGATACTACAAAAGGAGTGATTCCAACCTGCTCTATGATAGGGAATGTTCAACTCTGTGTCCTGAATACAAACATCACAAAGATGTTTCTCAGAACGCTGCAGTCTGCAATTTGTATGAATTCCCGCTTCCAACGAAATCCTCAAAACTAGCCAAATATCCACTTGCAGATTCCACAAAAAGACCATTTCAAAACTGCTCTATCAAAAGAAAGGTTCAACTTTGTTAGTTGAGTAGATACAGCATAAACAAGTTTCTGAGAATGCTTCTGTCCAGTTTTTATGGGAAGATATTTCCTTTTTCACCTTAGCCCTGAAATCGCTCCAAAAGTCCAGTTCCAGATACTACAAAAGGGGTGTTTCAAGACTGCTCTATGAAAGGGAGTGTTCAACTTTTGACTTGAATGCAAACATCAGAAAGCAGTTTCTCAGAACGCTGCTGTGTGCTTTTTATATGTATTCCCGCTTCCAGCGAAATCCCCAAAGCTAGCCAAATATCCACTTGCAGATTCCAGAAAAAGAGTGTTTCAAAACTGCTCCTTCAAAACGGTGGTTCAATTCTCTTAGTTGAGTACACACATCTCAAATAAGTTTCTGAGAATGCTTGTGTCTAGTTGTTATGGGAAGATATTTCCTTTTTCAACATAGGCCTGAAAGCGCTCCAAATGTCCACTTCCAGATACTACAAAAGGAGTGATTCCAACCTGCTCTATGATAGGGAATGTTCATCTCTGTGTCCTGAATACAAACATCACAAAGATGTTTCTCAGAACTCTGCAGTCTGCAATTTGTATGAATTCCCGCTTCCAACGAAATCCTCAAAACTAGCCAAATATCCACTTGCAGATTCCACAAAAAGAGCGTTTCAAAACTTCTCTATGAAAAGAAAGGTTCTACTCCTTTAGTTGAGGACACACATCACGAGTAAGTTTCTGAGAATGCTTCTGTCTAGTTTTTATGGGAAGATATTTCCTTTTTCACCTTAGGCCGGAAAGCGCTCCAAATGTCCACTTACACACACTACAAAAAGAGTGTTTCAAACCTGCTCTGTGAAAGGGAGTGTTCAATTCTGTGACTTGAATGCAATCATCACAAAGAACTTTCTGAGAATGCTGCTGACTGCTTTTTATATGTAATCCCGTTTCCAACGAAATCCTCAAATCTAGCCAAATAGCCACTTGCAGATTCCACAAAAAGAGTGTTTCAAAACTGTTCTGTCTAAAGAAATGTTCAACTGTGTTAGTTGAGGACACACATCAGAAACTAGTTTCTGAGAATGCTTCTGTCTAGTTGTTATGGGAAGATATTTCCTTTTCCAACGTAAGCCTGAAAGCGATCAAAATGTCCACTTCCATATACTAAAAAAAGAGTGTTTCAAACCTGCTCTACCAAAGGGAATGTTCTACTCTGTGACTTCAATGCAAACATCCCAAAGAAGTTTCTGAGAATGCTTCTGTCTAGATTTTATCTGAAGACAATCCCGTTTCCAACGAAATCCTCAAGGCTAGGCAAATATACTCTTGCAGATTCCAGAAAAAGAGGGTTTCAAAACTGCTCCTTCAAAACGGTGGTTCAATTCTCTTAGTTGAGTACACACATCTCAAATAAGTTTCTGAGAATGCTTCTGCCTAGTTGTTACGGGAAGATATTTCCCTTTCCAACATGGGCCTGAAAGCGCTCCAAATGTCCACTTCCAGATACTACAAAAAGAGTGTTTCAAACCTGCTGTACCAAAGGGAATGTTCTACTCTGTGACTTGAGTGCAAACATCCCAAAGAAGTTTCTGAGAATGCTTCTGTCTAGATTTTACCTGAAGACAATCCCGTTTCCCACGAAATCCTCAAAGCTATGCAAATATCCTCTTGCGGATTCTACAAAAAGAGTGTTTCAAAACTGCTCTATGAAAAGAAAGGTTCAACTCTGTCAGTAGAGGGCACACATCACAAACAAGTTTCTGAGAATGCTTGTGTCTAGTTGTTATGGGAAGATATTTCCTTTTTCAACATAGGCCTGAAAGCGCTCCAAATGTCCACTTCCAGATACTACAAAAGGAGTGATTCCAACCTGCTCTATGATAGGGAATGTTCATCTCTGTGTCCTGAATACAAACATCACAAAGATGTTTCTCAGAACGCTGCAGTCTGCAATTTGTATGAATTCCCGCTTCCAACGAAATCCTCAAAACTAGCCAAATATCCACTTGCAGATTCCACAAAAAGAGCATTTCAAAACTGCTCTATCAAAAGAAAGGTTCAACTTTGTTAGTTGAGTAGATACAGCATAAACAAGTTTCTGAGAATGCTTCTGTCCATTTTTTATGGGAAGATATTTCCTTTTTCACCTTAGCCCTGAAAGCGCTCCAAAAGTCCAGTTCCAGATACTGCAAAAGGAGTGTTTCAGGACTGCTCTATGAAAGGGAGTGTTCAACTTTTGACTTGAATGCAAACATCAGAAAGCAGTTTCTCAGAACGATGCTGTGTGCTTTTTATATGTATTCCCGCTTCCAGCGAAATCCCCAAAGCTAGCCAAATATCCACTTGCAGATTCCAGAAAAAGAGTGTTTCAAAACTGCTCCTTCAAAACGGTGGTTCAATTCTCTTAGTTGAGTACACACATCTCAAATAAGTTTCTGAGAATGCTTCTGTCTAGTTGTTATGGGAAGATATTTCCTTTTCCAACATAGGCCTGAAAGCGCTCCAAATGTCCACTTCCAGATACTACAAAAGGAGTGATTCAAACCTGCTCTATGATAGGGAATGTTCAACTCTGTGTCCTGAATACAAACATCACAAAGATGTTTCTCAGAACGCTGCAGTCTGCAATTTGTATGAATTCCCGCTTCCAACGAAATCCTCCAAACTAGCCAAATATCCACTTGCAGATTCCACAAAAAGAGCGTTTCAAAACTTCTCTATGAAAAGAAAGGTTCTACTCCTTTAGTTGAGGACACACATCACGAGTAAGTTTCTGAGAATGCTTCTGTCTAGTTTTTATGGGAAGATATTTCCTTTTTCACCTTAGGCCGGAAAGTGCTCCAAATGTCCACTTACACACACTACAAAAAGAGTGTTTCAAACCTGCTCTGTGAAAGGGAATGTTCAGTTCTGTGACTTGAATGCAATCATCACAAAGAAGTTTCTGAGAATGCTGCTGTCTGCTTTTTATATGTAATCCCGTTTCCAACGAAATCCTCAAATCTAGCCAAATAGCCACTTGCAGATTCCACAAAAAGAGTGTTTCAAAACTGTTCTGTCTAAAGAAATGTGCAACTGTGTTAGTTGAGGACACACATCAGAAACTAGTTTCTGAGAATGCTTCTGTCTAGTTGTTATGGGAAGATATTTCCTTTTCCAACGTAGGCCTGAAAGCGCTCCAAATGTCCACTTCCATATACTAAAAAAAGAGTGTTTCAAACCTGCTCTACCAAAGGGAATGTTCTACTCTGTGACTTGAATGCAAACATCCCAAAGAAGTTTCTGAGAATGCTTCTGTCTAGATTTTATCTGAAGACAATCCCGTTTCCAAAGAAATCCTCAAGGCTAGGCAAATATACTCTTGCAGATTCCAGAAAAAGAGTGTTTCAAAACTGCTCCTTCAAAACGGTGGTTCAATTCTCTTAGTTTAGTCCACACATCTCAAATAAGTTTCTGAGAATGCTTCTGCCTAGTTGTTACGGGAAGATATTTCCCTTTCCAACATGGGCCTGAAAGCGCTCCAAATGTCCACTTCCAGATACTACAAAAAGAGTGTTTCAAACCTGCTCTACCAAAGGGAATGTTCTACTCTGTGACTTGAATGCAAACATCCCAAAGAAGTTTCTGAGAATGCTTCTGTCTAGATTTTACCTGAAGACAATCCCGTTTCCCACGAAATCCTCAAAGCTATGCAAATATCCTCTTGAAGATTCTACAAAAAGAGTGTTTCAAAACTGCTCTATGAAAAGAACGGTTCAACTCTGTCAGTAGAGGGCACACATCACAAACAAGTTTCTGAGAATGCTTCTGCATAGTTGTTACGGGAAGATATTTCCCTTTCCAAAATAGGCCTGAAAGCGCTCCAAATGTCCACTTCCAGATACTACAAAAGGAGTGATTCCAACCTGCTCTATGATAGGGAATGTTCAACTCTGTGTCCTGAATACAAACATCACAAAGATGTTTCTCAGAACGCTGCAGTCTGCAATTTGTATGAATTCCCGCTTCCAACGAAATCCTCAAAACTAGCCAAATATCCACTTGCAGATTCCACAAAAAGAGCATTTCAAAACTGCTCTATCAAAAGAAAGGTTCAACTTTGTTAGTTGAGTAGATACAGCATAAACAAGTTTCTGAGAATGCTTCTGTCCAGTTTTTATGGGAAGATATTTCCTTTTTCACCTTAGCCCTGAAAGCGCTCCAAAAGTCCAGTTCCAGATACTACAAAAGGAGTGTTCCAGGACTGCACTATGAAAGGGAGTGTTCAACTTTTGACTTGAATGCAAACATCAGAAAGCAGTTTCTCAGAACGCTGCTGTGTGCTTTTTATATGTATTCCCGCTTCCAGCGAAATCCCCAAAGCTAGCCAAATATCCACTTGCAGATTCCAGAAAAAGAGTGTTTCAAAACTGCTCCTTCAAAACGGTGGTTCAATTCTCTTAGTTGAGTACACACATCTCAAATAAGTTTCTGAGAATGCTTCTGTCTAGTTGTTATGGGAAGATATTTCCTTTTCCAACATAGGCCTGAAAGCGCTCCAAATGTCCACTTCCAGATACTACAAAAGGAGTGATTCAAACCTGCTCTATGATAGGGAATGTTCAACTCTGTGTCCTGAATACAAACATCACAAAGATGTTTCTCAGAACGCTGCAGTCTGCAATTTGTATGAATTCCCGCTTCCAACGAAATCCTCAAAACTAGCCAAATATCCACTTGCAGATTCCACAAAAAGAGCGTTTCAAAACTTCTCTATGAAAAGAAAGGTTCTACACCTTTAGTTGAGGACACACATCACGAGTAAGTTTCTGAGAATGCTTCTGTCTAGTTTTTATGGGAAGATATTTCCTTGTTCACCTTAGGCCGGTAAGTGCTCCAAATATCCACTTACACACACTACATAAAGAGTGTTTCAAACCTGCTCTGTGAAAGGGAATGTTCAATTCTGTGACTTGAATGCAATCATCACAAAGAACTTTCTGAGAATGCTGCTGACTGCTTTTTATATGTAATCCCGTTTCCAACGAAATCCTCAAATCTAGCCAACTATCCACTTGCAGATTCCACAAAAAGAGTGTTCCAAAACTGTTCTGTCTAAAGAAATGTTCAACTGTGTTAGTTGAGGACACACATCAGAAACTAGTTTACTGAGAATGCTTCTGTCTAATTGTTATGGGAAGATATTTCCTTTTCCAACGTAGGCCTGAAAGCGCTCCAAATGTCCACTTCCATATACTAAAAAAAGAGTGTTTCAAACCTGCTCTACCAAAGGGAATGTTCTACTCTGTGACTTGAATGCAAACATCCCAAAGAAGTTTCTGAGAATGCTTCTGTCTAGATTTTATCTGAAGACAATCCAGTTTCCAACGAAATCCTCAAGGCTAGGCAAATATATTCTTGCAGAACCCAGAAAAAGAGTGTTTCAAAACTGCTCCTTCAAAACGGTGGTTCAATTCTCTTAGTTGAGTACACACATCTCAAATAAGTTTCTGAGAATGCTTCTGCCTAGTTGTTAAGGGAAGATATTTCCCTTTCCAACATGAGCCTGAAAGCGCTCCATATGTCCACTTCCAGATACTACAAAAAGAGTGTTTCAAACCTGCTCTACCAAAGGGAATGTTCTACTCTGTGACTTGAATGCAAACATCCCAAAGAAGTTTCTGAGAATCCTTCTGTCTAGATTTTACCTGAAGACAATCCCGTTTCCCACGAAATCCTCAAAGCTATGCAAATATCCTCTTGCAGATTCTACAAAAAGAGTGTTTCAAAACTGCTCTATGAAAAGAAAGGTTCAAATCTGTCAGTAGAGGGCACACATCACAAACAAGTTTCTGAGAATGCTTCTGCATAGTTGTTATGGGAAGATATTTCCCTTTCCAAAATAGGC
Source organism: Homo sapiens (assembly GCF_000001405.40). NCBI lineage: Eukaryota > Metazoa > Chordata > Mammalia > Primates > Hominidae > Homo > Homo sapiens. The sequence continues at coordinate 18,633,173 of NC_000018.10, read as the reverse complement.
CTGAAAGCGCTCCAAATGTCCACTTCCAGATACTACAAAAGGAGTGATTCCAACCTGCTCTAGGACAGGGAATGTTCAACTCTGTTTCCTGAATAAAAACATCACAAAGATGTTTCTCAGAACGCTGCAGTCTGCAATTTGTATGAATTCCCGCTTCCAACGAAATCCTCAAAACTAGCCAAATATCCACTTGCAGATTCCACAAAAAGAGCATTTCAAAACTGCTCTATCAAAAGAAAGGTTCAACTTTGTTAGTTGAGTAGATACAGCATAAACAAGTTTCTGAGAATGCTTCTGTCTAGTTTTTATGGGAAGATATTACCTTTTTCACCTTAGCCCTGAAAGCGCTCCAAAAGTCCAGTTCCAGATACTACAAAAGGAGTGTTTCAGGACTGCTCTATGAAAGGGAGTGTTCAACTTTTGACTTGAATGCAAACATCAGAAAGCAGTTTCTCAGAACGCTGCTGTGTGCTTTTTATATGTATTCCCGCTTCCAGCGAAATCCCCAAAGCTAGCCAAATATCCACTTGCAGATTCCAGAAAAAGAGTGTTTCAAAACTGCTCCTTCAAAACGGTGGTTCAATTCTCTTAGTTGAGTACACACATCTCAAATAAGTTTCTGAGAATGCTTCTGTCCAGTTTTTATGGCAAGATATTTCCTTTTTCACCTTAGCCCTGAAGGCGCTCCAAATTTCCAGTTCCAGATACTACAAAAGGGGTGTTTCAAGACTGCTCTATGAAAGGGAGTGTTCAACTTTTGACTTGAATGCAAACATCAGAAAGCAGTTTCTCAGAACGCTGCTGTGTGCTTTTTATATGTATTCCCGCTTACAGCGAAATCCCCAAAGCTAGCCAAATATCCACTTGCAGATTCCAGAAAAAGAGTGTTTCCAAACTGCTCCTTCAAAACGGTGGTTCAATTCTCATAGTTGAGTACACACATCTCAAATAAGTTTCTGGGAATGCTTCTGTCTAGTTGTTATGGGAAGATATTTCCTTTTCCAACATAGGCCTGAAAGCGCTCCAAATGTCCACTTCCAGATACTACAAAAGGAGTGATTCAAACCTGCTCTATGATAGGGAATGTTCAACTCTGTGTCCTGAATACAAACATCACAAAGATGTTTCTCAGAACGCTGCAGTCTGCATCTTGTATGAATTCCCGCTTCCAACGAAATCCTCCAAACTAGCCAAATATCCACTTGCAGATTCCACAAAAAGAGCGTTTCAAAACTTCTCTATGAAAAGAAAGGTTCTACTCCTTTAGTTGAGGACACACATCACGAGTAAGTTTCTGAGAATGCTTCTGTCTAGTTTTTATGGGAAGATATTTCCTTGTTCACCTTAGGCCGGAAAGCGCTCCAAATGTCCACTTACACACACTACAAAAAGAGTGTTTCAAACCTGCTCTGTGAAAGGGAATGTTCAATTCTGTGACTTGAATGCAATCATCACAAAGAAGTTTCTGAGAATGCTGCTGTCTGCTTTTTATATGTAATCCCGTTTGCAACGAAATCCTCAAATCTAGCCAAATATCCACTTGCAGATTCCACAAAAAGAGTGTTTCAAAACTGTTCTGTCTAAAGAAATGTTCAACTGTGTTAGTTGAGGACACACATCAGAAACTAGTTTCTGAGAATGCTTCTGTCTAGTTGTTATGGGAAGATATTTCCTTTTCCAACGTAGGCCTGAAAGCGTTCCAAATGTCCACTTACACACACTACAAAAAGAGTGTTTCAAACCTGCTCTACCAAAGGGAATGTTCTACTCTGTGACTTGAATGCAAACATCCCAAAGAAGTTTCTGAGAATGCTTCTGTCTAGATTTTACCTGAAGACAATCCCGTTTCCCACGAAATCCTCAAAGCTAAGCAAATATCCTCTTGCAGATTCTACAAAAAGAGTGTTTCGAAACTGCTCTATGAAAAGAAAGGTTCAACTGTGTCAGTAGAGGGCACACATCACAAACAAGTTTCTGAGAATGCTGTGTCTAGTTGTTATGGGAAGATATTTCCTTTTTCAACATAGGCCTGAAAGCGCTCCAAATGTCCACTTCCAGATACTACAAAAGGAGTGATTCCAACCTGCTCTATGATAGGGAATGTTCATCTCTGTGTCCTGAATACAAACATCACAAAGATGTTTCTCAGAAGGCTGGCAGTCTGCAATTTGTATGAATTCCAGCTTCCAACGAAATCCTCAAAACTAGCCAAATATCCACTTGCAGATTCCACAAAAGGAGCATTTCAAAACTGCTCTATCAAAAGAAAGGTTCAACTTTGTTAGTGGAGTAGATACAGCATAAACAAGTTTCTGAGAATGCTTCTGTCCAGTTTTTATGGGAAGATATTTCCTTTTTCACCTTAGCCCTGAAAGCGCTCCAAATGTCCAGTTCCAGATACTACAAAAGGGGTGTTTCAAGACTGCTCTATGAAAGGGAGTGTTCAACTTTTGACTTGAATGCAAACATCAGAAAACAGTTTCTCAGAACGCTGCTGTGTGCTTTTTATATGTATTCCCGCTTCCAGCGAAATCCCCAAAGCTAGCCAAATATCCACTTGCAGATTCCAGAAAAAGAGTGTTTCAAAACTGCTCCTTCAAAACGGTGGTTCAATTCTCTTAGTTGAGTACACACATCTCAAATAAGTTTCTGAGAATGCTTGTGTCTAGTTGTTATGGGAAGATATTTCCTTTTTCAACATAGGCCTGAAAGCGCTCCAAATGTCCACTTCCAGATACTACAAAAGGAGTGACTCCAACATGCTCTATGATAGGGAATGTTCACCTCTGTGTCTTGAATACAAACATCACAAAGATGTTTCTCAGAACGCTGCAGTCTGCAATTTGTATGAATTCCCGCTTCCAACGAAATCCTCAAAACTAGCCAAATATCCACTTGGAGATTCCACAAAAAGAGCGTTTCAAAACTTCTCTATGAATAGAAAGGTTCTACTCCTTTAGTTGAGGACACACATCACGAGTAAGTTTCTGAGAATGCTTCTGTCTAGTTTTTATGGGAAGATATTTCCTTTTTCACCTTAGGCCGGAAAGCGCTCCAAATGTCCACTTACACACACTACAAAAAGAGTGTTTCAAACCTGCTCTGTGAAAGGGAATGTTCAATTCTGTGACTTGAATGCAATCATCACAAAGAACTTTCTGAGAATGCTGCTGTCTGCTTTTTATATGTAATCCCGTTTCCAACGAAATCCTCAAATCTAGCCAAATATCCACTTGCAGATTCCACAAAAAGAGTGTTTCAAAACTGTTCTGTCTAAAGAAAAGTTCAACTGTGTTAGTTGAGGACACACATCAGAAACTAGTTTCTGAGAATGCTTCTGTCTAGTTGTTATGGGAAGATATTTCCTTTTCCAACGTAGGCCTGAAAGCGCTCCAAATGTCCATTTCCATATACTAAAAAAAGAGTGTTTCAAACCTGCTCTACCAAAGGGAATGTTCTACTCTGTGACTTGAATACAAACATCCCAAAGAAGTTTCTGAGAATGCTTCTGTCTAGATTTTATCTGAAGACAATCCCGTTTCCAACGAAATCCTCAAGGCTAGGCAAATATCCTCTAGCAGATTCCAGAAAAAGAGTGTTTCAAAACTGCTCCTTCAAAACGGTGGTTCAATTCTCTTAGTTGAGTACACACATCTCAAAAAAGTTTCAGAGAATGCTTCTGCCTAGTTGTTACGGGAAGATATTTCCCTTTCCAACATGGGCCTGAAAGTGCTCCAAATGTCCACTTCCAGATACTACAAAAAGAGTGTTTCAAACCTGCTCTACCAAAGGGAATGTTCTACTCTGTGACTTGAATGCAAACATCCCAAAGAAGTTTCTGAGAATGCTTCTGTCTAGATTTTACCTGAAGACAATCCCGTTTCCCACGAAATCCTCAAAGCTATGCAAATATCCTCTTGCAGATTCTACAAAAAGAGTGTTTCAAAACTGCTCTATGAAAAGAAAGGTTCAACTCTGTCAGTAGAGGGCACACATCACAAACAAGTTTCTGAGAATGCTTCTGCATAGTTGTTACGGGAAGATATTTCCCTTTCCAAAATAGGCCTGAAAGCGCTCCAAATGTCCACTTCCAGATACTACAAAAGGAGTGATTCCAACCTGCTCTATGATAGGGAATGTTCAACTCTCTGTCCTGAATACAAACATCACAAAGATGTTTCTCAGAACGCTGCAGTCTGCAATTTGTATGAATTCCCGCTTCCAACGAAATCCTCAAAACTAGCCAAATATCCACTTGCAGATTCCACAAAAAGACCATTTCAAAACTGCTCTATCAAAAGAAAGGTTCAACTTTGTTAGTTGAGTAGATACAGCATAACCAAGTTTCTGAGAATGCTTCTGTCCAGTTTTTATGGGAAGATATTTCCTTTTTCACCTTAGCCCTGAAAGCGCTCCAAAAGTCCAGTTCCAGATACTACAAAAGGAGTGTTTCAGGACTGCTCTATGAAAGGGAGTGTTCAACTTTTGACTTGAATGCAAACATCAGAAAGCAGTTTCTCAGAACGCTGCTGTGTGCTTTTTATATGTATTCCCGCTTCCAGCGAAATCCCCAAAGCTAGCCAAATAGCCACTTGCAGATTCCAGAAAAAGAGTGTTTCAAAACTGCTCCTTCAAAACGGTGGTTCAATTCTCTTAGTTGAGTACACACATCTCAAATAAGTTTCTGAGAATGCTTCTGTCTAGTTGTTATGGGAAGATATTTCCTTTTCCAACATAGGCCTGAAAGCGCTCCAAATGTCCACTTCCAGATACTACAAAAGGAGTGATTCCAACCTGCTCTATGATAGGGAATGTTCAACTCTGTGTCCTGAATACAAACATCACAAAGATGTTTCTCAGAACGCTGCAGTCTGCAATTTGTATGAATTCCCGCTTCCAACGAAATCCTCAAAACTAGCCAAATATCCACTTGCAGATTCCACAAAAAGAGCGTTTCAAAACTTCTCTATGAAAAGAAAGGTTCTACTCCTTTAGTTGAGGACACACATCACGAGTAAGTTTCTGAGAATGCTTCTGTCTAGTTTTTATGGGAAGATATTTCCTTTTTCACCTTAGGCCGGTAAGTGCTCCAAATGTCCACTTACACACACTACAAAAAGAGTGTTTCAAACCTGCTCTGTGAAAGGGAATGTTCAATTCTGTGACTTGAATGCAATCATCACAAAGAACTTTCTGAGAATGCTGCTGACTGCTTTTTATATGTAATCCCGTTTCCAACGAAATCCTCAAATCTAGCCAAATAGCCACTTGCAGATTCCACAAAAAGAGTGTTTCAAAACTGTTTTGTCTAAAGAAAAGTTCAACTGTGTTAGTTGAGGAAACACATCAGAAACTAGTTTCTGAGAATGCTTCTGTTTAGTTGTTATGGGAAGATATTTCCTTTTCCAACGTAGGCCTGAAAGCGCTCCAAATGTCCACTTCCATATACTAAAAAAAGAGTGTTTCCAACCTGCTCTACCAAAGGGAATGTTCTACTCTGTGACTTGAATGCAAACATCCCAAAGAAGTTTCTGAGAATGCTTCTGTCTAGATTTGATCTGAAGACAATCCCGTTTCCAACGAAATCCTCAAGGCTAGGCAAATATCCTCTTGCAGATTCCAGAAAAAGAGTGTTTCAAAACTGCTCCTTCAAAACGGTGGTTCAATTCTCTTAGTTGAGCACACACATCTCAAATAAGTTTCTGAGAATGCTTCTGCCTAGTTGTTACGGGAAGTATATTTCCCTTTCCAACATAGGCCTGAAAGCGCTCCAAATGTCCACTTCCAGATACTATAAAAAGAGTGTTTCAAACCTGCTCTACCAAAGGGAATGTTCTACTCTGTGACTTGAATGCAAACATCCCAAAGAAGTTTCTGAGAATGCTTCTGTCTAGATTTTTACCTGAAGACAATCCCGTTTCCCACGAAATCCTCAAAGCTATGCAAATATCCTCTTGCAGATTCTACAAAAAGAGTGTTTCAAAACTGCTCTATGAAAAGAAAGGTTCAACTCTGTCAGTAGAGGGCACACATCACAAACAAGTTTCTGAGAATGCTTCTGCATAGTTGTTACGGGAAGATATTTCCCTTTCCAAAATAGGCCTGAAAGCGCTCCAAATGTCCACTTCCAGATACTACAAAAGGAGTGATTCCAACCTGCTCTATGATAGGGAATGTTCAACTCTGTGTCCTGAATACAAACATCACAAAGATGTTTCTCAGAACGCTGCAGTCTGCAATTTGTATGAATTCCCGCTTCCAACGAAATCCTCAAAACTAGCCAAATATCCACTTGCAGATTCCACAAAAAGACCATTTCAAAACTGCTCTATCAAAAGAAAGGTTCAACTTTGTTAGTTGAGTAGATACAGCATAAACAAGTTTCTGAGAATGCTTCTGTCCAGTTTTTATGGGAAGATATTTCCTTTTTCACCTTAGCCCTGAAATCGCTCCAAAAGTCCAGTTCCAGATACTACAAAAGGGGTGTTTCAAGACTGCTCTATGAAAGGGAGTGTTCAACTTTTGACTTGAATGCAAACATCAGAAAGCAGTTTCTCAGAACGCTGCTGTGTGCTTTTTATATGTATTCCCGCTTCCAGCGAAATCCCCAAAGCTAGCCAAATATCAACTTGCAGATTCCAGAAAAAGAGTGTGTCAAAACTGCTCCTTCAAAACGGTGGTTCAATTCTCTTAGTTGAGTACACACATCTCAAATAAGTTTCTGAGAATGCTTGTGTCTAGTTGTTATGGGAAGATATTTCCTTTTTCAACATAGGCCTGAAAGCGCTCCAAATGTCCACTTCCAGATACTACAAAAGGAGTGATTCCAACCTGCTCTATGATAGGGAATGTTCATCTCTGTGTCCTGAATACAAACATCACAAAGATGTTTCTCAGAACGCTGCAGTCTGCAATTTGTATGAATTCCCGCTTCCAACGAAATCCTCAAAACTAGCCAAATATCCACTTGGAGATTCCACAAAAAGAGCGTTTCAAAACTTCTCTATGAATAGAAAGGTTCTACTCCTTTAGTTGAGGACACACATCACGAGTAAGTTTCTGAGAATGCTTCTGTCTAGTTTTTATGGGAAGATATTTCCTTTTTCACCTTAGGCCGGTAAGTGCTCCAAATGTCCACTTACACACACTACAAAAAGAGTCTTTCAAACCTGCTCTGTGAAAGGGAATGTTCAATTCTGTGACTTGAATGCAATCATCACAAAGAACTTTCTGAGAATGCTGCTGTCTGCTTTTTATATGTAATCCCGTTTCCAACGAAATCCTCAAATCTAGCCAAATATCCACTTGCAGATTCCACAAAAAGAGTGTTTCAAAACTGTTCTGTCTAAAGAAAAGTTCAACTGTGTTAGTTGAGGACACACATCAGAAACTAGTTTCTGAGAATGCTTCTGTCTAGTTGTTATGGGAAGATATTTCCTTTTCCAACGTAGGCCTGAAAGTGCTCCAAATGTCCACTTCCATATACTAAAAAAAGAGTGTTTCAAACCTGCTCTACCAAAGGGAATGTTCTACTCTGTGACTTGAATGCAAACATCCCAAAGAAGTTTCTGAGAATGCTTCTGTCTAGATTTTATCTGAAGACAATCCCGTTTCCAACGAAATCCTCAAGGCTAGGCAAATATACTCTTGCAGATTCCAGAAAAAGAGGGTTTCAAAACTGCTCCTTCAAAACGGTGGTTCAATTCTCTTCGTTGAGTACACACATCTCAAATAAGTTTCTGAGAATGCTTCTGCCTAGTTGTTACGGGAAGATATTTCCCTTTCCAACATGGGCCTGAAAGCGCTCCAAATGTCCACTTCCAGATACTACAAAAAGAGTGTTTCAAACCTGCTCTACCAAAGGGAATGTTCTACTCTGTGACTTGAATGCAAACATCCCAAAGAAGTTTCTGAGAATGCTTCTGTCTAGATTTTACCTGAAGACAATCCCGTTTCCCACGAAATCCTCAAAGCTATGCAAATATCCTCTTGCAGATTCTACAAAAAGAGTGTTTCAAAACTGCTCTTTGAAAAGAAAGGTTCAACTCTGTCACTAGAGGGCACACATCACAAACAAGTTTCTGAGAATGCTTGTGTCTAGTTGTTATGGGAAGATATTTCCTTTTTCAACATAGGCCTGAAAGCGCTCCAAATGTCCACTTCCAGATACTACAAAAGGAGTGATTCCAACCTGCTCTATGATAGGGAATGTTCAACTCTCTGTCCTGAATACAAACATCACAAAGATGTTTCTCAGAACGCTGCAGTCTGCAATTTGTATGAATTCCCGCTTCCAACGAAATCCTCCAAACTAACCAAATATCCACTTGCAGACTCCACAAAAAGAGCATTTCAAAACTGCTCTATCAAAAGAAAGGTTCAACTTTGTTAGCTGAGTAGATACAGCATAAACAAGTTTCTGAGAATGCTTCTGTCCAGTTTTTATGGGAAGATATTTCCTTTTTCACCTTAGCCCTGAAAGCACTCCAAATGTCCACTTCCAGATACCACAAAAGGGGAGTTTCAAGACTGCTCTATGAAAGGGAGTGTTCAACTTTTGACTTGAATGCGAACATCAGAAAGAAGTTTCTCAGAACGCTGCTGTGTGCTTTTTATATGTATTCCCGCTTCCAGCGAAATCCCCAAAGCTAGCCAAATATCCAATTGCAGATTCCAGAAAAAGAGTGTTTCAAAACTGCTCCTTCAAAACGGTGGTTCAATTCTCTTAGTTGAGTACACACATCTCAAATAAGTTTCTGAGAATGCTTCTGTCTATTTGTTATGGGAAGATATTTCCTTTTCCAACATAGGCCTGAAAGCGCTCCAAATGTCCACTTCCAGATACTACAAAAGGAGTGATTCAAACCTGCTCTATGATAGGGAATGTTCAACTCTGTGTCCTGAATACAAACTTCACAAAGAAGTTTCTCAGAACGCTGCAGTCTGCAATTTGTATGAATTCCCGCTTCCAACGAAATCCTCAAAACTAGCCAAATATCCACTTGCAGATTCCACAAAAAGAGCGTTTCAAAACTTCTCTATGAAAAAAAAGGTTCTACTCCTTTAGTTGAGGACACACATCACGAGTAAGTTTCTGAGAATGCTTCTGTCTAGTTTTTATGGGAAGATATTTCCTTTTTCACCTTAGGCCGGTAAGTGCTCCAAATGTCCACTTACACACACTACAAAAAGAGTGTTTCAAACCTGCTCTGTGAAAGGGAATGTTCAATTCTGTGACTTGAATGCAATCATCACAAAGAACTTTCTGAGAATGCTGCTGTCTGCTTTTTATATGTAATCCCGTTTCCAACGAAATCCTCAAATCTAGCCAAATAGCCACTTGCAGATTCCACAAAAAGAGTGTTTCAAAACTGTTCTGTCTAAAGAAATGTTCAACTGTGTTAGTTGAGGACACACATCAGAAACTAGTTTCTGAGAATGCTTCTGTCTAGTTGTTATGGGAAGATATTTCCTTTTCCAACGTAGGCCTGAAAGCGCTCCAAATGTCCACTTCCATATACTAAAAAAAGAGTGTTTCAAACCTGCTCTACCAAAGGGAATGTTCTACTCTGTGACATGAATGCAAACATCCCAAAGAAGTTTCTGAGAATGCTTCTGTCTAGATTTGATCTGAAGACAATCCCGTTTCCAACGAAATCCTCAAGGCTAGGCAAATATCCTCTTGCAGCTTCCAGAAAAAGAGTGTTTCAAAACTGCTCCTTCAAAACGGTGGTTCAATTCTCTTAGTTGAGTACACACATCTCAAATAAGTTTCTGAGAATGCTTCTGCCTAGTTGTTACGGGAAGATATTTCCCTTTCCAACATAGGCCTGAAAGCGCTCCAAATGTCCACTTCCAGATACTACAAAAAGAGTGTTTCAAACCTGCTCTACCAAAGGGAATGTTCTGCTCTGTGACTTGAATGCAAACATCCCAAAGAAGTTTCTGAGAATGCTTCTGTCTAGATTTGATCTGAAGACAATCCCTTTTCCAACGAAATCCTCAAAGCTAGGCAAATATCCTCTTGCAGATTCTACAAAAAGAGTGTTTCGAAACTGCTCTATGAAAAGAAAGGTTCAACTCTGTCAGTAGAGGAAACACATCACCAACAAGTTTCTGAGAATGCTTCTGTCTAGTTGTTATGGGAAGATTTTTCCTTTTTCAACATAGGCCTGAAAGCGCTCCAAATGTCCACTTCCAGATACTACAAAAGGAGTGATCCCAACCTGCTCTATGATAGGGAATGTTCAACTCTGTGTCCTGAATACAAACATCACAAAGATGTTTCTCAGAACGCTGCAGTCTGCAATTTGTATGAATTCCCGCTTCCAACGAAATCCTCAAAACTAGCCAAATATCCACTTGCAGATTCCACAAAAAGAGCATTTCAAAACTGCTCTATCAAAAGAAAGGTTCAACTTTGTTAGTTGAGCAGATACAGCATAAACAAGTTTCTGAGAATGCTTCTGTCCAGTTTTTATGGGAAGATATTTCCTTTTTCACCTTAGCCCTGAAAGCGCTCCAAATGTCCAGTTCCAGATACTACAAAAGGGGTGTTTCAAGACTGCTCTATGAAAGGGAGTGTTCAACTTTTGACTTGAATGCAAACATCAGAAAGCAGTTTCTCAGAACGCTGCTGTGTGCTTTTTATATGTATTCCCGCTTCCAGCGAAATCCCCAAAGCTAGCCAAATATCCACTTGCAGATTCCAGAAAAAGAGTGTTTCAAAACTGCTCCTTCAAAACGGTGGTTCAATTCTCTTAGTTGAGTACACACATCTCAAATAAGTTTCTGAGAATGCTTCTGTCTAGTTGTTATGGGAAGATATTTCCTTTTCCAACATAGGCCTGAAAGCGCTCCAAATGTCCACTTCCAGATACTACAAAAGGAGTGATTCCAACCTGCTCTATGATAGGGAATGTTCAACTCTGTGTCCTGAATACAAACATCACAAAGATGTTTCTCAGAACGCTGCAGTCTGCAATTTGTATGAATTCCCGCTTCCAACGAAATCCTCCAAACTAGCCAAATATCCACTTGCAGATTCCACAAAAAGAGCGTTTCAAAACTTCTCTATGAAAACAAAGGTTCTACTCCTTTAGTTGAGGACACACATCACGAGTAAGTTTCTGAGAATGCTTCTGTCTAGTTTTTATGGGAAGATATTTCCTTTTTCACCTTAGGCCGGAAAGTGCTCCAAATGTCCACTTACACACACTATAAAAAGAGTGTTTCAAACCTGCTCTGTGAAAGGGAATGTTCAATTCTGTGACTTGAATGCAATCATCACAAAGAACTTTCTGAGAATGCTGCTGTCTGCTTTTTATATGTAATCCCGTTTCCAACGAAATCCTCAAATCTAGCCAAATAGCCACTTGCAGATTCCACAAAAAGAGAGTTTCAAAACTGTTCTGTCTAAAGAAATGTTCAACTGTGTTAGTTGAGGACACACATCAGAAACTAGTTTCTGAGAAAGCTTCTGTCTAGTTGTTATGGGAAGATATTTCCTTTTCCAACGTAGGCCTGAAAGCGCTCCAAATGTCCACTTCCATATACTAAAAAAAGAGTGTTTCAAACCTGCTCTACCAAAGGGAATGTTCTACTCTGTGACTTGAATGCAAACATCCCAAAGAAGTTTCTGAGAATGCTTCTGTCTAGATTTGATCTAAAGACAATCCCGTTTCCAACGAAATCCTCAAGGCTAGGCAAATATCCTCTTGCAGATTCCAGAAAAAGAGTGTTTCAAAACTGCTCCTTCAAAACGGTGATTCAATTCTCTTAGTTGAGTACACACATCTCAAATAAGTTTCTGAGAATGCTTCTGCCTAGTTGTTACGGGAAGATATTTCCCTTTCCAACATAGGCCTGAAAGCGCTCCAAATGTCCACTTCCAGATACTACAAAAAGAGTGTTTCAAACCTGCTCTACCAAAGGGAATGTTCTACTCTGTGACTTGAATGCAAACATCCCAAAGAAGTTTCTGAGAATGCTTCTGTCTAGATTTTACCTGAAGACAATCCCGTTTCCCACGAAATCCTCAAAGCTATGCAAATATCCTCTTGCAGATTCTACAAAAAGAGCGTTTCAAAACTTCTCTATGAAAAGAAAGGTTCTACTCATTTAGTGGAGGACACACATCACGAGTAAGTTTCTGAGAATGCTTCTGTCTAGTTGTTATGGGAAGATATTTCCTTTTCCAACATAGGCCTGAAAGCGCTCCAAATGTCCACTTCCAGATACTACAAAAGGAGTGATTCCAACCTGCTCTATGATAGGGAATGTTCAACTCTGTGTCCTGAATACAAACATCACAAAGATGTTTCTCACAACGCTGCAGTCTGCAATTTGTATGAATTCCCGCTTCCAACGAAATCCTCAAAACTAGCCAAATATCCACTTGCAGATTCCACAAAAAGAGCATTTCAAAACTGCTCTATCAAAAGAAAGGTTCAACTTTGTTAGTTGAGTAGATACAGCATAAACAAGTTTCTGAGAATGCTTCTGTCCAGTTTTTATGGGAAGATATTTCCTTTTTCATCTTAGCCCTGAAAGCGCTCCAAAAGTCCAGTTCCAGATACTACAAAAGGAGTGGTTCAGGACTGCACTATGAAAGGGAGTGTTCAACTTTTGACTTGAATGCAAACATCAGAAAGCAGTTTCTCAGAACGCTGCTGTGTGCTTTTTATATGTATTCCCGCTTCCAGCGAAATCCCCAAAGCTAGCCAAATATCCACTTGCAGATTCCAGAAAAAGAGTGTTTCAAAACTGCTCCTTCAAAACGGTGGTTCAATTCTCTTAGTTGAGTACACACATCTCAAATAAGTTTCTGAGAATGCTTGTGTCTAGTTGTTATGGGAAGATATTTCCTTTTTCAACATAGGCCTGAAAGCGCTCCAAATGTCCACTTCCAGATACTACAAAAGGAGTGATTCCAACATGCTCTATGATAGGGAATGTTCAACTCTCTGTCCTGAATACAAACATCACAAAGATGTTTCTCAGAACGCTGCAGTCTGCAATTTGTATGAATTCCCGCTTCCAACGAAATCCTCAAAACTAGCCAAATATCCACTTGCAGATTCCACAAAAAGAGCGTTTCAAAACTTCTCTATGAAAAGAAAGGTTCTACTCCTTTAGTTGAGGACACACATCACGAGTAAGTTTCTGAGAATGCTTCTGTCTAGTTTTTATGGGAAGATATTTCCTTTTTCACCTTAGGCCGGTAAGTGCTCCAAATGTCCACTTACACACACTACAAAAAGAGTGTTTCAAACCTGCTCTGTGAAAGGGAATGTTCAATTCTGTGACTTGAATGCAATCATCACAAAGAACTTTCTGAGAATGCTGCTGACTGCTTTTTATATGTAATCCCGTTTCCAACGAAATCCTCAAATCTAGCCAAATAGCCACTTGCAGATTCCACAAAAAGAGTGTTTCAAAACTGTTCTGTCTAAAGAAATGTTCAACTGTGTTAGTTGAGGACACACATCAGAAACTAGTTTCTGAGAATGCTTCTGTCTAGTTGTTATGGGAAGATATTTCCTTTTCCAACGTAGGCCAGAAAGCGCTCCAAATGTCCACTTACACACACTACAAAAAGAGTGTTTCAAACCTGCTCTACCAAAGGGAATGTTCTACTCTGTGACTTGAATGCAAACATCCCAAAGAAGTTTCTGAGAATGCTTCTGTCTAGATTTTACCTGAAGACAATCCCGTTTCCCACGAAATCCTCAAAGCTATGCAAATATCCTCTTGCAGATTCTACAAAAAGAGTGTTTCGAAACTGCTCTATGAAAAGAAAGATTCAACTGTGTCAGTAGAGGGCACACATCACAAACAAGTTTCTGAGAATGCTTCTGTCTAGTTGTTATGGGAAGATTTTTCCTTTTTCAACATAGGCCTGAAAGCGCTCCAAATGTCCACTTCCAGATACTACAAATGGAGTGATCCCAACCTGCTCTATGATAGGGAATGTTCAACTCTGTGTCCTGAATACAAACATCACAAAGATGTTTCTCAGAACGCTGCAGTCTGCAATTTGTATGAATTCCCGCTTCCAACGAAATCCTCAAAACTAGCCAAATATCCACTTGCAGATTCCACAAAAAGAGCATTTCAAAACTGCTCTATCAAAAGAAAGGTTCAACTTTGTTAGTTGAGCAGATACAGCATAAACAAGTTTCTGAGAATGCTTCTGTCCAGTTTTTATGGGAAGATATTTCCTTTTTCACCTTAGCCCTGAAAGCGCTCCAAAAGTCCAGTTCCAGATACTACAAAAGGAGTGTTTCAGGACTGCTCTATGAAAGGGAGTGTTCAACTTTTGACTTGAATGCAAACATCAGAAAGCAGTTTCTCAGAACGCTGCTGTGTGCTTTTTATATGTATTCCCGCCTCCAGCGAAATCCCCAAAGCTAGCCAAATATCCACTTGCAGATTCCAGAAAAAGAGTGTTTCAAAACTGCTCCTTCAAAACGGTGGTTCAATTCTCTTAGTTGAGTACACACATCTCAAATAAGTTTCTGAGAATGCTTCTGTCTAGTTGTTATGGGAAGATATTTCCTTTTCCAACATAGGCCTGAAAGCACTCCAAATGTCCACTTCCAGATACTACAAAAGGAGTGATTCCAACCTGCTCTATGATAGGGAATGTTCAACTCTGTGTCCTGAATACAAACATCACAAAGATGTTTCTCAGAACGCTGCAGTCTGCAATTTGTATGAATTCCCGCTTCCAACGAAATCCTCCAAACTAGCCAAATATCCACTTGCAGATTCCACAAAAAGAGCGTTTCAAAACTTCTCTATGAAAAGAAAGGTTCTACTCCTTTAGTTGAGGACACACATCACGAGTAAGTTTCTGAGAATGCTCTGTCTAGTTTTTATGGGAAGATATTTCCTTTTTCACCTTAGGCCGGTAAGTGCTCCAAATGTCCACTTACACACACTACAAAAAGAGTGTTTCAAACCTGCTCTGTGAAAGGGAATGTTCAATTCTGTGACTTGAATGCAATCATCACAAAGAACTTTCTGAGAATGCTGGCTGTCTGCTTTTTATATGTAATCCCGTTTCCACCGAAATCCTCAAATATAGCCAAATATCCACTTGCAGATTCCACAAAAAGAGTGTTTCAAAACTGTTCTGTCTAAAGAAAAGTTCAAATGTGTTAGTTGAGGACACACATCAGAAACTAGTTTCTGAGAATACTTCTGTCTAGTTGTTATGGGAAGATATTTCCTTTTCCAACGTAGGCCTGAAAGCGCTCCAAATGTCCATTTCCATATGCTAAAAAAAGAGTGTTTCAAACCTGCTCTACCAAAGGGAATGTTCTACTCTGTGACTTGAATACAAACATCCCAAAGAAGTTTCTGAGAATGCTTCTGTCTAGATTTTATCTGAAGACAATCCCGTTTCCAACGAAATCCTCAAGGCGAGGCAAATATACTCTTGCAGATTCCAGAAAAAGAGGGTTTCAAAACTGCTCCTTCAAAACGGTGGTTCAATTCTCTTAGTTGAGTACACACATCTCAAATAAGTTTCTGAGAATGCTTCTGCCTAGTTGTTACGGGAAGATATTTCCCTTTCCAACACGGTCCTGAAAGCGCTCCAAATGTCCACTTCCAGATAGTACAAAAAGAGTGTTTCAAACCTGCTCTACCAAAGGGAATGTTCTACTCTGTGACTTGAATGCAAACATCCCAAAGAAGTTTCTGAGAATGCTTCTGTCTAGATTTTACCTGAAGACAATCCCGTTTCCCACGAAATCCTCAAAGCTATGCAAATATCCTCTTGCGGATTCTACAAAAAGAGTGTTTCAAAACTGCTCTATGAAAAGAAACGTTCAACTCTGTCAGTAGAGGGCACACATCACAAACAAGTTTCTGAGAATGCTTGTGTCTAGTTGTTATGGGAAGATATTTCCTTTTTCAACATAGGCCTGAAAGCGCTCCAAATGTCCACTTCCAGATACTACAAAAGGAGTGATTCCAACCTGCTGTATGATAGGGAATGTTCATCTCTGTGTCCTGAATACAAACATCACAAAGATGTTTCTCAGAACGCTGCAGTCTGCAATTTGTATGAATTCCCGCTTCCAACGAAATCTTCAAAACTAGCCAAATATCCACTTGGAGATTGCACAAAAAGAGCGTTTCAAAACTTCTCTATGAATAGAAAGGTTCTACTCCTTTAGTTGAGGACACACATCACGAATAAGTTTCTGAGAATGTTTCTGTCTAGTTTTTATGGGAAGATATTTCCTTTTTCACCTTAGGCCGGAAAGCGCTCCAAATGTCCACTTACACACACTACAAAAAGAGTGTTTCAAACCTGCTCTGTGAAAGGGAATGTTCAATTCTGTGACTTGAATGCAATCATCACAAAGAACTTTCTGAGAATGCTGCTGTCTGCTTTTTATATGTAATCCCGTTTCCAACGAAATGCTCAAATCTAGCCAAATATCCACTTGCAAATTCCACAAAAAGAGTGTTTCAAAACTGTTCTGTCTAAAGAAATGTTCAACTGTGTTAGTTGAGGACACACATCAGAAACTAGTTTCTGAGAATGCTTCTGTCTAGTTGTTGTGGGAAGATATTTCCTTTTCCAACGTAGGCCTGAAAGCGCTCCAAATGTCCACTTCCATATACTAAAAAAAGAGTGTTTCAAACCTGCTCTACCAAAGGGAATGATCTACTCTGTGACTTGAATGCAAACATCCCAAAGAAGTTTCTGAGAATGCTTCTGTCTAGATTTTATCTGAAGACAATCCCGTTTCCAACGAAATCCTCAAGGCTAGGCAAATATACTCTTTCAGATTCCAGAAAAAGAGGGTTTCAAAACTGCTCCTTCAAAACGGTGGTTCAATTCTCTTCGTTGAGTACACACATCTCAAATAAGTTTCTGAGAATGCTTCTGCCTAGTTGTTACGGGAATATATTTCCCTTTCCAACATGGGCTTGAATGCGCTCCAAATGTCCACTTCCAGATACTACAAAAAGATTGTTTCAAACCTGCTCTACCAAAGGGAATGTTCTACTCTGTGACTTGAATGCAAACATCCCAAAGAAGTTTCTGAGAATGCTTCTGTCTAGATTTTACCTGAAGACAATCCCGTTTCCCACGAATTCCTCAAAGCGATGCAAATATCCTCTTGCGGATTCTACAAAAAGAGTGTTTCAAAACTGCTCTATGAAAAGAAAGGTTCAACTCTGTCAGTAGAGGGCACACATCACAAACAAGTTTCTGAGAATGCTTGTGTCTAGTTGTTATGGGAAGATATTTCCTTTTTCAACATAGGCCTGAAAGCGCTCCAAATGTCCACTTCCAGATACTACAAAAGGAGTGATTCCAACCTGCTCTATGATAGGGAATGTTCCTCTCTGTGTCCTGAATACAAACATCACAAAGATGTTTCTCAGAACGCTGCAGTCTGCAATTTGTATGAATTCCCGCTTCCAACGAAATCCTCAACACTAGCCAAATATCCACTTGGAGATTCCACAAAAAGAGCGTTTCAAAACTTCTCTATGAATAGAAAGGTTCTACTCCTTTAGTTGAGGACACACATCACGAGTAAGTTTCTGAGAATGCTTCTGTCTAGTTTTTATGGGAAGATATGTCCTTTTTCACCTTAGGCCGGAAAGCGCTCCAAATGTCCACTTACACACACTACAGAAAGAGTGCTTCAAACCTGCTCTGTGAAAGGGAATGTTCAATTCTGTGACTTGAATGCAATCATCACAAAGAACTTTCTGAGAATGCTGCTGTCTGCTTTTTATATGTAATCCCGTTTCCAACGAAATCCTCAAATCTAGCCAAATAGCCACTTGCAGATTCCACAAAAAGAGTGTTTCAAAACTGTTCTGTCTAAAGAAAAGTTCAACTGTGTTAGTTGAGGACACACATCAGAAACTAGTTTCTGAGAATGCTTCTGTCTAGTTGTTATGGGAAGATATTTCCTTTTCCAACGTAGGCCTGAAAGTGCTCCAAATGTCCACTTCCATATACTAAAAAAAGAGTGTTTCAAACCTGCTCTACCAAAGGGAATGTTCTACTCTGTGACTTGAATGCAAACATCCCAAAGAAGTTTCTGAGAATGCTTCTGTCTAGATTTTATCTGAAGACAATCCCGTTTCCAACGAAATCCTCAAGGCTAGGCAAATATACTCTTGCAGATTCCAGAAAAAGAGTGTTTCAAAACTGCTCCTTCAAAACGGTGGTTCAATTCTCTTAGTTGAGTACACACATCTCAAATAAGTTTCTGAGAATGCTTCTGCCTAGTTGTTACGGGAAGATATTTCCCTTTCCAACATGGGCCTGAAAGCGCTCCAAATGTCCACTTCCAGATACTACAAAAAGAGTGTTTGAAACCTGCTCTACCAAAGGGAATGTTCTACTCTGTGACTTGAATGCAAACATCCCAAAGAAGTTTCTGAGAATGCTTCTGTCTAGATTTTACCTGAAGACAATCCCGTTTCCCACGAAATCCTCAAAGCTATGCAAATATCCTCTTGCAGATTCTACAAAAAGAGTGTTTCAAAACTGCTCTATGAAAAGAAAGGTTCAACTCTGTCAGTAGAGGGCACACATCACAAACAAGTTTCTGAGAATGCTTCTGCATAGTTGTTACGGGAAGATATTTCCCTTTCCAAAATAGGCCTGAAAGCGCTCCAAATGTCCACTTCCAGATACTACAAAAGGAGTGATTCCAACCTGCTCTATGATAGGGAATGTTCAACTCTGTGTCCTGAATACAAACATCACAAAGATGTTTCTCAGAACGCTGCAGTCTGCAATTTGTATGAATTCCCGCTTCCAACGAAATCCTCAAAACTAGCCAAATATCCACTTGCATATTCCACAAAAAGACCATTTCAAAACTGCTCTATCAAAAGAAAGGTTCAACTTTGTTAGTTGAGTAGATACAGCATAAACAAGTTTCTGAGAATGCTTCTGTCCAGTTTTTATGGGAAGATATTTCCTTTTTCACCTTAGCCCTGAAATCGCTCCAAAAGTCCAGTTCCAGATACTACAAAAGGGGTGTTTCAAGACTGCTCTATGAAAGGGAGTGTTCAACTTTTGACTTGAATGCAAACATCAGAAAGCAGTTTCTCAGAACGCTGCTGTGTGCTTTTTATATGTATTCCCGCTTCCAGCGAAATCCCCAAAGCTAGCCAAATATCCACTTGCAGATTCCAGAAAAAGAGTGTTTCAAAACTGCTCCTTCAAAACGGTGGTTCAATTCTCTTAGTTGAGTACACACATCTCAAATAAGTTTCTGAGAATGCTTCTGTCTAGTTGTTATGGGAAGATATTTCCTTTTCCAACATAGGCCTGAAAGCGCTCCAAATGTCCACTTCCAGATACTACAAAAGGAGTGATTCAAACCTGCTCTATGATAGGGAATGTTCAATTCTGTGTCCTGAATACAAACATCACAAAGATGTTTCTCAGAACGCTGCAGTCTGCAATTTGTATGAATTCCCGCTTCCAACGAAATCCTCCAAACTAGCCAAATATCCACTTGCAGATTCCACAAAAAGAGCGTTTCAAAACTTCTCTATGAAAAGAAAGGTTCTACTCCTTTAGTTGAGGACACACATCACGAGTAAGTTTCTGAGAATGCTTCTGTCTAGTTTTTATGGGAAGATATTTCCTTGTTCACCTTAGGCCGGAAAGCGCTCCAAATGTCCACTTACACACACTAGAAAAAGAGTGTTTCAAACCTGCTCTGTGAAAAGGAATGTTCAATTCTGTGACTTGAAGGCAATCATCACAAAGAAGTTTCTGAGAATGCTGCTGTCTGCTTTTTATATGTAATCCCGTTTCCAACGAAATCCTCAAATGTAGCCAAATATCCACTTGCAGATTCCACAAAAAGAGTGTTTCAAAACTGTTCTGTCTAAAGAAATGTTCAACTGTGTTAGTTGAGGACACACATCAGAAACTAGTTTCTGAGAATGCTTCTGTCTAGTTGTTATGGGAAGATATTTCCTTTTCCAACGTAGGCCTGAAAGCGCTCCAAATGTCCACTTCCATATACTAAAAAAAGAGTGTTTCAAACCTGCTCTACCAAAGGGAATGTTCTACTCTGTGACTTGAATGCAAACATCCCAAAGAAGTTTCTGAGAATGCTTCTGTCTAGATTTTCTCTGAAGACAATCCCGTTTCCAACGAAATCCTCAAGGCTAGGCAAATATACTCTTGCAGATTCCAGAAAAAGAGTGTTTCAAAACTGCTCCTTCAAAACGGTGGTTCAATTCTCTTAGTTGAGTACACACATCTCAAATAAGTTTCTGAGAATGCTTCTGCCTAGTTGTTACAGGAAGATATTTCCTTTTCCAACATGGGCCTGAAAGCGCTCCAAATGTCCACTTCCAGATACTACAAAAGGAGTGATTACAACCTGCTCTATGATAGGGAATGTTCAACTCTGTGTCCTGAATACAAACATCACAAAGATGTTTCTCAGAACGCTGCAGTCTGCAATTTGTATGAATTCCCGCTTCCAACGAAATCCTCAAAACTAGCCAAATATCCACTTGCAGATTCCACAAAAAGACCATTTCAAAACTGCTCTATCAAAAGAAAGGTTCAACTTTGTTAGTTGAGTAGATACAGCATAAACAAGTTTCTGAGAATGCTTCTGTCCAGTTTTTATGGGAAGATATTTCCTTTTTCACCTTAGCCCTGAAATCGCTCCAAAAGTCCAGTTCCAGATACTACAAAAGGGGTGTTTCAAGACTGCTCTATGAAAGGGAGTGTTCAACTTTTGACTTGAATGCAAACATCAGAAAGCAGTTTGCTCAGAACGCTGGCTGTGTGCTTTTTATATGTATTCCCGCTTCCAGCGAAATCCCCAAGCTAGCCAAATATCCACTTGCAGATTCCAGAAAAAGAGTGTTTCAAAACTGCTCCTTCAAAACGGTGGTTCAATTCTCTTAGTTGAGTACACACATCTCAAATAAGTTTCTGAGAATGCTTCTGTCTAGTTGTTATGGGAAGATATTTCCTTTTCCAACATAGGCCTGAAAGCGCTCCAAATGTCCACTTCCAGATACTACAAAAGGAGTGATTCAAACCTGCTCTATGATAGGAAATGTTCAACTCTGTGTCCTGAATACAAACATCACAAAGATGTTTCTCAGAACGCTGCAGTCTGCATCTTGTATGAATTCCCGCTTCCAACGAAATCCTCCAAACTAGCCAAATATCCACTTGCAGATTCCACAAAAAGAGCGTTTCAAAACTTCTCTATGAAAAGAAAGGTTCTACTCCTTTAGTTGAGGACACACATCACGAGTAAGTTTCTGAGAATGCTTCTGTCTAGTTTTTATGGGAAGATATTTCCTTGTTCACCTTAGGCCGGAAAGCGCTCCAAATGTCCACTTACACACACTACAAAAAGAGTGTTTCAAACCTGCTCTGTGAAAGGGAATGTTCAATTCTGTGACTTGAATGCAATCATCACAAAGAAGTTTGCTGAGAATGCTGCTGTCTGCTTTTTATATGTAATCCCGTTTCCAACGAAATCCTCAAATCTAGCCAAATATCCACTTGCAGATTCCACAAAAAGAGTGTTTCAAAACTGTTCTGTCTAAAGAAATGTTCAACTGTGTTAGTTGAGGACACACATCAGAAACTAGTTTCTGAGAATGCTTCTGCCTAGTTGTTAAGGGAAGATATTTCCCTTTCCAACATAGGCCTGAAAGCGCTCCAAATGTCTGCTTCCAGATACTACAAAAAGAGTGTTTCAAACCTGCTCTACCAAAGGGAATGTTCTACTCTGTGACTTGAATGCAAACATCCCAAAGAAGTTTCTGAGAATGCTTCTGTCTAGATTTTATCTGAAAACAATCCCGTTTCCAACGAAATCCTCAAAGCTAGGCAAATATCCTCTTGCAGATTCCAGAAAAAGAGTGTTTCAAAACTGGTCCTTCAAAACGGTGGTTCAATTCTCTTAGTTGAGTACACACATCTCAAATAAGTTTCTGAGAATGCTTCTGCCTAGTTGTTAAGGGAAGATATTTCCCTTTCCAACATAGGCCTGAAAGCGCTCCAAATGTCCACTTCCAGATACTACAAAAAGAGTGTTTCAAACCTGCTCTACCAAAGGGAATGTTCTACTCTGTGACTTGAATGCAAACATCCCAAAGAAGTTTCTGAGAATGCTTCTGTCTAGATTTTACCTGAAGACAATCCCGTTTCCCACGAAATCCTCAAAGCTATGCAAATATCCTCTTGCAGATTCTACAAAAAGAGTGTTTCAAAACTGCTCTATGAAAAGAAAGGTTCAACTCTGTCAGTAGAGGGCACACATCACAAACAAGTTTCTGAGAATGCTTGTGTCTAGTTGTTATGGGAAGATATTTCCTTTTTCAACATAGGCCTGAAAGCGCTCCAAATGTCCACTTCCAGATACTACAAAAGGAGTGATTCCAACCTGCTCTATGATAGGGAATGTTCAACTCTCTGTCCTGAATACAAACATCACAAAGATGTTTCTCAGAACGCTGCAGTCTGCAATTTGTATGAATTCCCGCTTCCAACGAAATCCTCAAAACTAGCCAAATATCCACTTGCAGATTCCACAAAAAGAGCATTTCAAAACTGCTCTATCAAAAGAAAGGTTCAACTTTGTTAGTTGAGTAGATACAGCATAAACAAGTTTCTGAGAATGCTTCTGTCCAGTTTTTATGGGAAGATATTTCCTTTTTCACCTTAGCCCTGAAAGCGCTCCAAAAGTCCAGTTCCAGATACTACAAAAGGAGTGTTTCAGGACTGCACTATGAAAGGGAGTGTTCAACTTTTGACTTGAATGCAAACATCAGAAAGCAGTTTCTCAGAACGCTGCAGTCTGCCAATTTGTATGAATTCCCGCTTCCAACGAAATCCTCAAAACTAGCCAAATATCCACTTGCAGATTCCACAAAAAGAGCGTTTCAAAACTTCTCTATGAAAAGAAAGGTTCTACTCCTTTAGTTGAGGACACACATCACGAGTAAGTTTCTGAGAATGCTTCTGTCTAGTTTTTATGGGAAGATATTTCCTTGTTCACCTTAGGCCGAAAAGCGTCCCAAATGTCCACTTACACACACTACAAGAAGAGTGTTTCAAACCTGCTCTGTGAAAGGGAATGTTCAATTCTGTGACTTGAATGCAATCATCACAAAGAAGTTTCTGAGAATGCTGCTGGCTGCTTTTTATATGTAATCCCGTTTCCAACGAAATCCTCAAATCTAGCCAAATAGCCACTTGCAGATTCCACAAAAAGAGTGTTTCAAAACTGTTCTGTCTAAAGAAATGTTCAACTCTGTTAGTTGAGGACACACATCAGAAACTAGTTTCTGAGAATGCTTCTGTCTAGTTGTTATGGGAAGATATTTCCTTTTCCAACGTAGGCCTGAAAGCGCTCCAAATGTCCACTTCCAGATACTACAAAAAGAGTGTTTCAAACCTGCTCTACTAAAGGGAATGTTCTACTCTGTGACTTGAATGCAAACATCCCAAAGAAGTTTCTGAGAATGCTTCTGTCTAGATTTTCTCTGAAGACAATCCCGTTTCCAACGAAATCCTCAAGGCTAGGCAAATATACTCTTGCAGATTCCAGAAAAAGAGTGTTTCAAAACTGCTCCTTCAAAACGGTGGTTCAATTCTCTTAGTTGAGTACACACATCTCAAATAAGTTTCTGAGAATGCTTCTGCCTAGTTGTTACGGGAAGATATTTCCCTTTCCAACATGGGCCTGAAAGCGCTCCAAATGTCCACTTCCAGATACTACAAAAAGAGTGTTTCAAACCTGCTCTACCAAAGGGAATGTTCTACTCTGTGACTTGAATGCAAACATCCCAAAGAAGTTTCTGAGAATGCTTCTGTCTAGATTTTACCTGAAGACAATCCCGTTTCCCACGAAATCCTGAAAGCTATGCAAATATCCTCTTGCAGATTCTACAAAAAGAGTGTTTCAAAACTGCTCTATGAAAAGAAAGGTTCAACTCTGTCAGTAGAGGGCACACATCACAAACAAGTTTCTGAGAATGCTTCTGCATAGTTGTTACGGGAAGATATTTCCCTTTCCAAAATAGGCCTGAAAGCGCTCCAAATGTCCACTTCCAGATACTACAAAAGGAGTGATTCCAACCTGCTCTATGATAGGGAATGTTCAACTCTGTGTCCTGAATACAAACATCACAAAGATGTTTCTCAGAACGCTGCAGTCTGCAATTTGTATGAATTCCCGCTTCCAACGAAATCCTCAAAACTAGCCAAATATCCACTTGGAGATTCCACAAAAAGAGCGTTTCAAAACTTCTCTATGAATAGAAAGGTTCTACTCCTTTAGTTGAGGACACACATCACGAGTAAGTTTCTGAGAATGCTTCTGTCTAGTTTTTATGGGAAGATATGTCCTTTTTCACCTTAGGCCGGAAAGCGCTCCAAATGTCCACTTACACACACTACAAAAAGAGTGTTTCAAACCTGCTCTGTGAAAGGGAATGTTCAATTCTGTGACTTGAATGCAATCATCACAAAGAACTTTCTGAGAATGCTGCTGTCTGCTTTTTATATGTAATCCCGTTTCCAACGAAATCCTCAAATCTAGCCCAATATCCACTTGCAGATTCCACAAAAAGAGTGTTTCAAAACTGTTCTGTCTAAAGAAAAGTTCAACTGTGTTAGTTGAGGACACATATCAGAAAGTAGTTTCTGAGAATGCTTCTGTCTAGTTGTTATGGGAAGAGATTTCCTTTTCCAACGTAGGCCTGAAAGCGCTCCAAATGTCCTTCCATATACTAAAAAAAGAGTGTTTCAAACCTGCTCTACCAAAGGGAATGTTCTACTCTGTGACTTGAATGCAAACATCCCAAAGAAGTTTCTGAGAATGCTTCTGTCTAGATTTTATCTGAAGACAATCCCGTTTCCAACGAAATCCTCAAGGCTAGGCAAATATACTCTTGCAGATTCCAGAAAAAGAGTGTTTCAAAACTGCTCCTTCAAAACGGTGGTTCAATTCTCTTAGTTGAGTACACACATCTCAAATAAGTTTCTGAGAATGCTTCTGCCTAGTTGTTACGGGAAGATATTTCCCTTTCCAACATGGGCCTGATAGTGCTCCAAATGTCCACTTCCAGATACTACAAAAAGAGTGTTTCAAACCTGCTCTACCAAAGGGAATGTTCTACTCTGTGACTTGAATGCAAACATCCCAAAAAAGTTTCTGAGAATGCTTCTATCTAGATTTTACCTGAAGACAATCCCGTTTCCCACGAAATCCTCAAAGCTATGCAAATATCCTCTTGCAGATTCTACAAAAAGAGTGTTTCAAAACTGCTCTATGAAAAGAAAGGTTCAACTCTGTCAGTAGAGGGCACACATCACAAACAAGTTTCTGAGAATGCTTCTGCATAGTTGTTACGGGAAGATATTTCCCTTTCCAAAATAGGCCTGAAAGCGCTCCAAATGTCCACTTCCAGATACTACAAAAGGAGTGATTCCAACCTGCTCTATGATAGGGAATGTTCAACTCTGTGTCCTGAATACAAACATCACAAAGATGTTTCTCAGAACGCTGCAGTCTGCAATTTGTATGAATTCCCGCTTCCAACGAAATCCTCAAAACTAGCCAAATATCCACTTGCAGATTCCACAAAAAGACCATTTCAAAACTGCTCTATCAAAAGAAAGGTTCAACTTTGTTAGTTGAGTAGATACAGCATAAACAAGTTTCTGAGAATGCTTCTGTCCAGTTTTTATGGGAAGATATTTTCTTTTTCACCTTAGCCCTGAAAGCGCCCGAAATGTCCAGTTCCAGATACTACAAAAGGAGTGTTTCAAGACTGCTCTATGAAAGGGAGTGTTCAAATTTGACTTGAATGCAAACATCAGAAAGCAGTTTCTCAGAACGCTGCTGTGTGCTTTTTATATGTATTCCCGCTTCCAGCGAAATCCCCAAAGCTAGCCAAATATCCACTTGCAGATTCCAGAAAAAGAGTGTTTCAAAACTGCTCCTTCAAAACGGTGGTTCAATTCTCTTAGTTGAGTACACACATCTCAAATAAGTTTCTGAGAATGCTTCTGTCTAGTTGTTATGGGAAGATATTTCCTTTTCCAACATAGGCCTGAAAGCGCTCCAAATGTCCACTTCCAGATACTACAAAAGGAGTGATTCCAACCTGCTCTATGATAGGGAATGTTCAACTCTGTGTCCTGAATACAAACATCACAAAGATGTTTCTCAGAACGCTGCAGTCTGCAATTTGTATGAATTCCCGCTTCCAACGAAATCCTCCAAACTAGCCAAATATCCACTTGCAGATTCCACAAAAAGAGCGTTTCAAAACTTCTCTATGAAAAGAAAGGTTCTACTCCTTTAGTTGAGGACACACATCACGAGTAAGTTTCTGAGAATGCTTCTGTCTAGTTTTTATGGGAAGATATTTCCTTGTTCACCTTAGGCCGGAAAGCGCTCCAAATGTCCACTTACACACACTACAAAAAGAGTGTTTCAAACCTGCTCTGTGAAAGGGAATGTTCAATTCTGTGACTTGAATGCAATCATCACAAAGAAGTTTCTGAGAATGCTGCTGTCTGCTTTTTATATGTAATCCCGTTTCCAACGAAATCCTCAAATCTAGCCAAATATCCACTTGCAGATTCCACAAAAAGAGTGTTTCAAAACTGTTCTGTCTAAAGAAAAGTTCAACTGTGTTAGTTGAGGACACACATCAGAAACTAGTTTCTGAGAATGCTTCTGCCTAGTTGTTATGGGAAGATATTTCCTTTTCCAACGTAGGCCTGAAAGCGCTCCAAATGTCCACTTCCATATACTAAAAAAAGAGTGTTTCAAACCTGCTCTACCAAAGGGAATGTTCTGCTCTGTGACTTGAATGCAAACATCCCAAAGAAGTTTCTGAGAATGCTTCTGTCTAGATTTTACCTGAAGACAATCCCGTTTCCCACGAAATCCTCAAAGCTATGCAAATATCCTCTTGCAGATTCTACAAAAAGAGTGTTTCGAAACTGCTCTATGAAAAGAAAGGTTCAACTGTGTCAGTAGAGGGCACACATCACAAACAAGTTTCTGAGAATGCTTGTGTCTAGTTGTTATGGGAAGATATTTCCTTTTTCAACATAGGCCTGAAAGCGCTCCAAATGTCCACTTCCAGATACTACAAAAGGAGTGATTCCAACCTGCTCTATGATAGGGAATGTTCAACTCTCTGTCCTGAATACAAACATCACAAAGATGTTTCTCAGAACGCTGCAGTCTGCAATTTGCATGAATTCCAGCTTCCAACGAAATCCTCAAAACTAGCCAAATATCCACTTGCAGATTCCACAAAAAGAGCATTTCAAAACTGCTCTATCAAAAGAAAGGTTCAACTTTGTTAGTAGAGTAGATACAGCATAAACAAGTTTCTGAGAATGCTTCTGTCCAGTTTTTATGGGAAGATATTTCCTTTTTCACCTTAGCCCTGAAAGCGCTCCAAATTTCCAGTTCCAGATACTACAAAAGGGGTGTTTCAAGACTGCTCTATGAAAGGGAGTGTTCAACTTTTGACTTGAATGCAAACATCAGAAAGCAGTTTCTCAGAACGCTGCTGTGTGCTTTTTATATGTATTCCCGCTTCCAGCGAAATCCCCAAAGCTAGCCAAATATCCACTTGCAGATTCCAGAAAAAGAGTGTTTCAAAACTGCTCCTTCAAAACGGTGGTTCAATTCTCTTAGTTGAGTACACACATCTCAAATAAGTTTCTGAGAATGCTTGTGTCTAGTTGTTATGGGAAGATATTTCCTTTTTCAACATAGGCCTGAAAGCGCTCCAAATGTCCACTTCCAGATACTACAAAAGGAGTGATTCCAACCTGCTCTATGATAGGGAATGTTCATCTCTGTGTCTTGAATACAAACATCACAAAGATGTTTCTCAGAACGCTGCAGTCTGCAATTTGTATGAATTCCCGCTTCCAACGAAATCCTCAAAACTAACCAAATATCCACTTGGAGATTCCACAAAAAGAGCGTTTCAAAACTTCTCTATGAATAGAAAGGTTCTACTCCTTTAGTTGAGGACACACATCACGAGTAAGTTTCTGAGAATGCTTCTGTCTAGTTTTTATGGGAAGATATGTCCTTTTTCACCTTAGGCCGGAAAGCGCTCCAAATGTCCACTTACACACACTACAAAAAGAGTGTTTCAAACCTGCTCTGTGAAAGGGAATGTTCAATTCTGTGACTTGAATGCAATCATCACAAAGAACTTTCTGAGAATGCTGCTGACTGTTTTTTATATGTAATCCCGTTTCCAACGAAATCCTCAAATCTAGCCCAATATCCACTTGCAGATTCCACAAAAAGAGTGTTTCAAAACTGTTCTGTCTAAAGAAAAGTTCAACTGTGTTAGTTGAGGACACATATCAGAAACTGGTTTCTGAGAATGCTTCTGTCTAGTTGTTATGGGAAGATATTTCCTTTTCCAACGTAGGCCTGAAAGCGCTCCAAATGTCCACTTCCAGATACTACAAAAAGAGTGTTTCAAACCTGCTCTACCAAAGGGAATGTTCTACTCTGTGACTTGAATGCAAGCATCCCAAAGAAGTTTCTGAGAATGCTTACTTTGTCTAGATTTGATCTGAAGACAATCCCGTTTCCAACGAAATCCTCAAGGCTAGGCAAATATCCTCTTGCAGATTCCAGAAAAAGAGTGTTTCAAAACTGCTCCTTCAAAACGGTGGTTCAATTCTCTTAGTTGAGTACACACATCTCAAATAAGTTTCTGAGAATGCTTCTGCCTAGTTGTTACGGGAAGATATTTCCCTTTCCAACATAGGCCTGAAAGCGCTCCAAATGTCCACTTCCAGATACTACAAAAAGAGTGTTTCAAACCTGCTCTACCAAAGGGAATGTTCTACTCTGTGACTTGAATGCAAACATCCCAAAGAAGTTTCTGAGAATGCTTCTGTCTAGATTTTACCTGAAGACAATCCCGTTTCCCACGAAATCCTCAAAGCTATGCAAATATCCTCTTGCAGATTCTACAAAAAGAGTGTTTCAAAACTGCTCTATGAAAAGAAAGGTTCAACTCTGTCAGTAGAGGGCACACATCACAAACAAGTTTCTGAGAATGCTTGTGTCTAGTTGTTATGGGAAGATATTTCCTTTTTCAACATAGGCCTGAAAGCGCTCCAAATGTCCACTTCCAGATACTACAAAAGGAGTGATTCCAACCTGCTCTATGATAGGGAATGTTCAACTCTCTGTCCTGAATACAAACATCACAAAGATGTTTCTCAGAACGCTGCAGTCTGCAATTTGTATGAATTCCCGCTTCCAACGAAATCCTCAAAACTAGCCAAATATCCACTTGCAGATTCCACAAAAAGAGCATTTCAAAACTGCTCTATCAAAAGAAAGGTTCAACTTTGTTAGTTGAGTAGATACAGCATAAACAAGTTTCTGAGAATGCTTCTGTCCAGTTTTTATGGGAAGATATTTCCTTTTTCACCTTAGCCCTGAAAGCGCTCC
This sequence comes from Homo sapiens, assembly GCF_000001405.40. Taxonomy (NCBI): domain Eukaryota; kingdom Metazoa; phylum Chordata; class Mammalia; order Primates; family Hominidae; genus Homo; species Homo sapiens. Next base: position 18,603,651 of record NC_000018.10, on the reverse strand, counting down.
AAAAGTCCAGTTCCAGATACTACAAAAGGAGTGTTTCAGGACTGCTCTATGAAAGGGAGTGTTCAACTTTTGACTTGAATGCAAACATCAGAAAGCAGTTTCTCAGAACGTTGCTGTGTGCTTTTTATATGTATTCCCGCTTCCAGCGAAATCCCCAAAGCTAGCCAAATATCCACTTGCAGATTCCAGAAAAAGAGTGTTTCAAAACTGCTCCTTCAAAACGGTGGTTCAATTCTCTTAGTTGAGTACACACATCTCAAATAAGTTTCTGAGAATGCTGCAGTCTGCAATTTGTATGAATTCCGGCTTCCAACGAAAATCCTCAAAACTAGCCAAATATCCACTTGCAGATTCCACAAAAAGAGCATTTCAAAACTGCTCTATCAAAAGAAAGGTTCAACTTTGTTAGTTGAGTAGATACAGCATAAACAAGTTTCTGAGAATGCTTCTGTCCAGTTTTTATGGGAAGATATTTCCTTTTTCACCTTAGCCCTGAAAGCGCTCCAAAAGTCCAGTTCCAGATACTACAAAAGGGGTGTTTCAAGACTGCTCTATGAAAGGGAGTGTTCAACTTTTGACTTGAATGCAAACATCAGAAAGCAGTTTCTTAGAACGCTGCTGTGTGCTTTTTATATGTATTCCCGCTTCCAGCGAAATCCCCAAAGCTAGCCAAATATCCACTTGCAGATTCCAGAAAAAGAGTGTTTCAAAACTGCTCCTTCAAAACGGTGGTTCAATTCTCTTAGTTGAGTACACACATCTCAAATAAGTTTCTGAGAATGCTTCTGTCTAGTTGTTATGGGAAGATATTTCCTTTTCCAACATAGGCCTGAAAGCGCTCCAAATGTCCACTTCCAGATACTACAAAAGGAGTGATTCAAACCTGCTCTATGATAGGGAATGTTCAACTCTGTGTGCTGAATACAAACATCACAAAGATGTTTCTCAGAACGCTGCAGTCTGCAATTTGTATGAATTCCCGCTTCCAACGAAATCCTCAAAACTAGCCAAATATCCACTTGCAGATTCCACAAAAAGAGCGTTTCAAAACTTCTCTATGAAAAGAAAGGTTCTACTCCTTTAGTTGAGGACACACATCACGAGTAAGTTTCTGAGAATGCTTCTGTCTAGTTTTTATGGGAAGATATTTCCTTTTTCACCTTAGGCCGGAAAGTGCTCCAAATGTCCACTTACACACACTACAAAAAGAGTGTTTCAAACCTGCTCTGTGAAAGGGAATGTTCAATTCTGTGACTTGAATGCAATCATCACAAAGAACTTTCTGAGAATGCTGCTGTCTGCTTTTTATATGTAATCCCGTTTCCAACGAAATCCTCAAATCTAGCCAAATAGCCACTTGCAGATTCCACAAAAAGAGTGTTTCAAAACTGTTCTGTCTAAAGAAATGTTCAACTGTGTTAGTTGAGGACACACATCAGAAACTAGTTTCTGAGAATGCTTCTGTCTAGTTGTTATGGGAAGATATTTCCTTTTCCAACGTAGGCCTGAAAGCGCTCCAAATGTCCACTTCCATATACTAAAAAAAGAGTGTTTCAAACCTGCTCTACCAAAGGGAATGTTCTACTCTGTGACTTGAATGCAAACATCCCAAAGAAGTTTCTGAGAATGCTTCTGTCTAGATTTGATCTGAAGACAATCCCGTTTCCAACGAAATCCTCAAGGCTAGGCAAATATCCTCTTGCAGATTCCAGAAAAAGAGTGTTTCAAAACTGCTCCTTCAAAACGGTGGTTCAATTCTCTTAGTTGAGTACACACATCTCAAATAAGTTTCTGAGAATGCTTCTGCCTAGTTGTTACGGGAAGATATTTCCCTTTCCAACATAGGCCTGAAAGCGCTCCAAATGTCCACTTCCAGATACTACAAAAAGAGTGTTTCAAACCTGCTCTACCAAAGGGAATGTTCTGCTCTGTGACTTGAATGCAAACATCCCAAAGAAGTTTCTGAGAATGCTTCTGTCTAGATTTTACCTGAAGACAATCCCGTTTCCCACGAAATCCTCAAAGCTATGCAAATATCCTCTTGCAGATTCTACAAAAAGAGTGTTTCAAAACTGCTCTATGAAAAGAAAGGTTCAACTCTGTCAGTAGAGGGCACACATCACAAACAAGTTTCTGAGAATGCTTGTGTCTAGTTGTTATGGGAAGATATTTCCTTTTTCAACATAGGCCTGAAAGTGCTCCAAATGTCCACTTCCAGATACTACAAAAGGAGTGATTCCAACCTGCTCTATGATAGGTAATGTTCAACTCTCTGTCCTGAATACAAACATCACAAAGATGTTTCTCAGAACGCTGCAGTCTGCAATTTGTATGAATTCCCGCTTCCAACGAAATCCTCAAAACTAGCCAAATATCCACTTGCAGATTCCACAAAAAGAGCATTTCAAAACTGCTCTATCAAAAGAAAGGTTCAACTTTGTTAGTTGAGTAGATACAGCATAAACAAGTTTCTGAGAATGCTGCAGTCTGCAATTTGTATGAATTCCCGCTTCCAACGAAATCCTCAAAACTAGCCAAATATCCACTTGCAGATTCCACAAAAAGAGCGTTTCAAAACTTCTCTATGAAAAGAAAGGTTCTACTCCTTTAGTTGAGGACTCACATCACGAGTAAGTTTCTGAGAATGCTTCTGTCTAGTTTTTATGGGAAGATATTTCCTTTTTCACCTTAGGCCGGAAAGTGCTCCAAATGTCCACTTACACACACTACAAAAAGAGTGTTTCAAACCTGCTCTGTGAAAGGGAATGTTCAATTCTGTGACTTGAATGCAATCATCACAAAGAACTTTCTGAGAATGCTGCTGTCTGCTTTTTATATGTAATCCCGTTTCCAACGAAATCCTCAAATCTAGCCAAATAGCCACTTGCAGATTCCACAAAAAGAGTGTTTCAAAACTGTTCTGTCTAAAGAAATGTTCAACTGTGTTAGTTGAGGACACACATCAGAAACTAGTTTCTGAGAATGCTTCTGTCTAGTTGTTATGGGAAGATATTTCCTTTTCCAACGTAGGCCTGAAAGCGCTCCAAATGTCCACTTCCATATACTAAAAAAAGAGTGTTTCAAACCTGCTCTACCAAAGGGAATGTTCTACTCTGTGACTTGAATGCAAACATCCCAAAGAAGTTTCTGAGAATGCTTCTGTCTAGATTTGATCTGAAGACAATCCCGTTTCCAACGAAATCCTCAAGGCTAGGCAAATATCCTCTTGCAGATTCCAGAAAAAGAGTGTTTCAAAACTGCTCCTTCAAAACGGTGGTTCAATTCTCTTAGTTGAGTACACACATCTCAAATAAGTTTCTGAGAATGCTTCTGCCTAGTTGTTACGGGAAGATATTTCCCTTTCCAACATAGGCCTGAAAGCGCTCCAAATGTCCACTTCCAGATACTACAAAAAGAGTGTTTCAAACCTGCTCTACCAAAGGGAATGTTCTACTCTGTGACTTGAATGCAAACATCCCAAAGAAGTTTCTGAGAATGCTTCTGTCTAGATTTTACCTGAAGACAATCCCGTTTCCCACGAAATCCTCAAAGCTATGCAAATATCCTCTTGCAGATTCTACAAAAAGAGTGTTTCAAAACTGCTCTATGAAAAGAAAGGTTCAACTCTGTCAGTAGAGGGCACACATCACAAACAAGTTTCTGAGAATGCTTGTGTCTAGTTGTTATGGGAAGATATTTCCTTTTTCAACATAGGCCTGAAAGCGCTCCAAATGTCCACTTCCAGATACTACAAAAGGAGTGATTCCAACCTGCTCTATGATAGGGAATGTTCAACTCTCTGTCCTGAATACAAACATCACAAAGATGTTTCTCAGAACGCTGCAGTCTGCAATTTGTATGAATTCCCGCTTCCAACGAAATCCTCAAAACTAGCCAAATATCCACTTGCAGATTCCACAAAAAGAGCATTTCAAAACTGCTCTATCAAAAGAAAGGTTCAACTTTGTTAGTTGAGTAGATACAGCATAAACAAGTTTCTGAGAATGCTTCTGTCCAGTTTTTATGGGAAGATATTTCCTTTTTCACCTTAGCCCTGAAAGCGCTCCAAAAGTCCAGTTCCAGATAGTACAAAAGGAGTGTTTCAGGACTGCACTATGAAAGGGAGTGTTCAACTTTTGACTTGAATGCAAACATCAGAAAGCAGTTTCTCAGAACGCTGCTGTGTGCTTTTTATATGTATTCCCGCTTCCAGCGAAATCCCCAAAGCTAGCCAAATATCCACTTGCAGATTCCAGAAAAAGAGTGTTTCAAAACTGCTCCTTCAAAACGGTGGTTCAATTCTCTTAGTTGAGTACACACATCTCAAATAAGTTTCTGAGAATGCTTCTGTCTAGTTGTTATGGGAAGATATTTCCTTTTCCAACATAGGCCTGAAAGCGCTCCAAATGTCCACTTCCAGATACTACAAAAGGAGTGATTCCAACCTGCTCTATGATAGGGAATGTTCAACTCTGTGTCCTGAATACAAACATCACAAAGATGTTTCTCAGAACGCTGCAGTCTGCAATTTGTATGAATTCCCGCTTCCAACGAAATCCTCAAAACTAGCCAAATATCCACTTGCAGATTCCACAAAAAGACCATTTCAAAACTGCTCTATCAAAAGAAAGGTTCAACTTTGTTAGTTGAGTAGATACAGCATAAACAAGTTTCTGAGAATGCTTCTGTCCAGTTTTTATGGGAAGATATTTCCTTTTTCACCTTAGCCCTAAAATCGCTCCAAAAGTCCAGTTCCAGATACTACAAAAGGGGTGTTTCAAGACTGCTCTATGAAACGGAGTGTTCAACTTTTGACTTGAATGCAAACATCAGAAAGCTGTTTCTCAGAACGCTGCTGTGTGCTTTTTATATGTATTCCCGCTTCCAGCGAAATCCCCAAAGCTAGCCAAATATCCACTTGCAGATTCCAGAAAAAGAGTGTTTCAAAACTGCTCCTTCAAAACGGTGGTTCAATTCTCTTAGTTGAGTAGACACATCTCAAATAAGTTTCTGAGAATGCTTCTGTCTAGTTGTTATGGGAAGATATTTCCTTTTCCAACATAGGACGGAAAGCGCTCCAAATGTCCACTTCCAGATACTACAAAAGGAGTGATTCAAACCTGCTCTATGATAGGGAATGTTCAACTCTGTGTCCTGAATACAAACATCACAACGATGTTTCTCAGAACGCTGCAGTCTGCAATTTGTATGAATTCCCGCTTCCAACGAAATCCTCAACACTAGCCAAATATCCACTTGGAGATTCCACAAAAAGAGCGTTTCAAAACTTCTCTATGAATAGAAAGGTTCTACTCCTTTAGTTGAGGACACACATCACGAGTAAGTTTCTGAGAATGCTTCTGTCTAGTTTTTATGGGAAGATATTTCCTTTTTCACCTTAGGCCGGAAAGTGCTCCAAATGTCCACTTACACACACTACAAAAAGAGTGTTTCAAACCTGCTCTGTGAAAGGGAATGTTCAATTCTGTGACTTGAATGCAATCATCACAAAGAAGTTTCTGAGAATGCTGCTGACTGCTTTTTATATGTAATCCCGTTTCCAACGAAATCCTCAAATCTAGCCAAATAGCCACTTGCAGATTCCACAAAAAGAGTGTTTCAAAACTGTTCTGTCTAAAGAAATGTTCAACTGTGTTAGTTGAGGACACACATCAGAAACTAGTTTCTGAGAATGCTTCTGTCTAGTTGTTATGGGAAGATATTTCCTTTTCCAACGTAGACCTGAAAGCGCTCCAAATGTCCACTTCCATATACTAAAAAAAGAGTGTTTCAAACCTGCTCTAACAAAGGGAATGTTCTACTCCGTGACTTGAATGCAAACATCCCAAAGAAGTTTCTGAGAATGCTTCTGTCTAGATTTGATCTGAAGACAATCCCGTTTCCAACGAAATCCTAAAGGCTAGGCAAATATCCTCTTGCAGATTCCAGAAAAAGAGTGTTTCAAAACTGCTCCTTCAAAACGGTGATTCAATTCTCTTAGTTGAGTACACACATCTCAAATAAGTTTCTGAGAATGCTTCTGCCTAGTTGTTACGGGAAGATATTTCCCTTTCCAACATAGGCCTGAAAGCGCTCCAAATGTCCACTTCCAGATACTACAAAAAGAGTGTTTCAAACCTGCTCTACCAAAGGGAATGTTCTACTCTGTGACTTGAATGCAAACATCCCAAAGAAGTTTCTGAGAATGCTTCTGTCTAGATTTTACCTGAAGACAATCCCGTTTCCCACGAAATCCTCAAAGCTATGCAAATATCCTCTTGCAGATTCTACAAAAAGAGTGTTTCAAAACTGCTCTATGAAAAGAAAGGTTCAACTCTGTCAGTAGAGGGCACACATCACAAACAAGTTTCTGAGAATGCTTGTGTCTAGTTGTTATGGGAAGATATCTCCTTTTTCAACATAGGCCTGAAAGCGCTCCAAATGTCCACTTCCAGATACTACAAAAGGAGTGATTCCAACCTGCTCTATGATAGGGAATGTTCAACTCTCTGTCCTGAATACAAACATCACAAAGATGTTTCTCAGAACGCTGCAGTCTGCAATTTGTATGAATTCCCGCTTCCAACGAAATCCTCAAAACTAGCCAAATATCCACTTGCAGATTCCACAAAAAGAGCATTTCAAAATTGCTCTATCAAAAGAAAGGTTCAACTTTGTTAGTTGAGTAGATACAGCATAAACAAGTTTCTGAGAATGCTTCTGTCCAGTTTTTATGGGAAGATATTTCCTTTTTCACCTTAGCCCTGAAAGCGCTCCAAAAGTCCAGTTCCAGATACTACAAAAGGAGTGTTTCAGGACTGCTCTATGAAAGGGAGTGTTCAACTTTTGACTTGAATGCAAACATCAGAAAGCAGTTTCTTAGAACGCTGCTGTGTGCTTTTTATATGTATTCCCGCTTCCAGCGATATCCCCAAAGCTAGCCAAATATCCACTTGCAGATTCCAGAAAAAGAGTATTTCAAAACTGCTCCTTCAAAACGGTGGTTCAATTCTCCTAGTTGAGTACACACATCTCCAATAGGTTTCTGAGAATGCTTCTGTCTAGCTGTTATGGGAGGATATTTCCTTTTCCAACATAGGCCTGAAAACGCTCCAAACGTCCACTTCCAGATACGACAAAAGGAGTGATTCCAACCTGCTCTATGATAGGGAATATTCAACTCTGTGTCCTGAATACAAACATCACAAAGATGTTTCTCAGAACGCTGCAGTCTGCAATTTGTATGAATTCCCGCTTCCAACGAAATCCTCAAAACTAGCCAAATATCCACTTGGAGATTCCACAAAAAGAGCGTTTCAAAACTTCTCTATGAATAGAAAGGTTCTACTCCTTTAGTTGAGGACACACATCACGAGTAAGTTTCTGAGAATGCTTCTGTCTAGTTTTTATGGGAAGATATTTCCTTTTTCACCTTAGGTCGGAAAGTGCTCCAAATGTCCACTTACACACACTATAAAAAGAGTGTTTCAAACCTGCTCTGTGAATGGGAATGTTCAATTCTGTGACTTGAATGCAATCATCACAAAGAACTTTCTGAGAATGCTGCTGTCTGCTTTTTATATGTAATCCCGTTTCCAACGAAATCCTCAAATCTAGCCAAATAGCCACTTGCAGATTCCACAAAAAGAGAGTTTCAAAACTGTTCTGTCTAAAGAAATGTTCAACTGTGTTAGTTGAGGACACACATCAGAAACTAGTTTCTGAGAATGCTTCTGTCTAGTTGTTATGGGAAGATATTTCCTTTTCCAACGTAGGCCTGAAAGCGCTCCAAATGTCCACTTCCATATACTAAAAAAAGAGTGTTTCAAACCTGCTCTACCAAAGGGAATGTTCTACTCTGTGACTTGAATGCAAACATCCCAAAGAAGTTTCTGAGAATGCTTCTGTCTAGATTTGATCTGAAGACAATCCCGTTTCCAACGAAATTCTCAAGGCTAGGCAAATATACTCTTGCAGATTCCAGAAAAAGAGTGTTTCAAAACTGCTCCTTCAAAACGGTGGTTCAATTCTCTTAGTTGAGTACACACATCTCAAATAAGTTTCTGAGAATGCTTCTGCCTAGTTGTTACGGGAAGATATTTCCCTTTCCAACATGGGCCTGAAAGCGCTCCAAATGTCCACTTCCAGATACTACAAAAAGAGGGTTTCAAACCTGCTCTACCAAAGGGAATGTTCTACTCTGTGACTTGAATGCAAACATCCCAAAGAAGTTTCTGAGAATGCTTCTGTCTAGATTTTACCTGAAGACAATCCCGTTTCCCACGAAATCCTCAAAGCTATGCAAATATCCTCTTGCAGATTCTACAAAAAGAGTGTTTCAAAACTGCTCTATGAAAAGAAAGGTTCAACTCTGTCAGTAGAGGGCACACATCACAAACAAGTTTCTGAGAATGCTTGTGTCTAGTTGTTATGGGAAGATATTTCCTTTTTCAACATAGGCCTGAAAGCGCTCCAAATGTCCACTTCCAGATACTACAAAAGGAGTGATTCCAACCTGCTCTATGATAGGGAATGTTCAAATCTGTGTCCTGAATACAAACATCACAAAGATGTTTCTCAGAACGCTGCAGTCTGCAATTTGTATGAATTCCCGCTTCCAACGAAATCCTCAAAACTAGCCAAATATCCACTTGCAGATTCCACAAAAAGACCATTTCAAAACTGCTCTATCAAAAGAAAGGTTCAACTTTGTTAGTTGAGTAGTTACAGCATAAACAAGTTTCTGAGAATGCTTCTGTCCAGTTTTTATGGGAAGATATTTCCTTTTTCACCTTAGCCCTGAAATCGCTCCAAAAGTCCAGTTCCAGATACTACAAAACGGGTGTTTCAAGACTGCTCTATGAAAGGGAGTGTTCAAATTTTGACTTGAATGCAAACATCAGAAAGCAGTTTCTCAGAACGCTGCTGTGTGCTTTTTATATGTATTCCCGCTTCCAGCGAAATCCCCAAAGCTAGCCAAATATCCACTTGCAGATTCCAGAAAAAGAGTGTTTCAAAACTGCTCCTTCAAAACGGTGGTTCAATTCTCTTAGTTGAGTACACACATCTCAAATAAGTTTCTGAGAATGCTTCTGTCTAGTTGTTATGGGAAGATATTTCCTTTTCCAACATAGGCCTGAAAGCGCTCCAAATGTCCACTTCCAGATACTACAAAAGGAGTGATTCCAACCTGCTCTATGATAGGGAATGTTCAACTCTGTGTCCTGAATACAAACATCACAAAGATGTTTCTCAGAACGCTGCAGTCTGCAATTTGTATGAATTCCCGCTTCCAACGAAATCCTCCAAACTAGCCAAATATCCACTTGCAGATTCCACAAAAAGAGCGTTTCAAAACTTCTCTATGAAAACAAAGGTTCTACTCCTTTAGTTGAGGACACACATCACGAGTAAGTTTCTGAGAATGCTTCTGTCTAGTTTTTATGGGAAGATATTCCCTTTTTCACCTTAGGCCGGAAAGTGCTCCAAATGTCCACTTACACACACTACAAAAAGAGTGTTTCAAACCTGCTCTGTGAAAGGGAATGTTCAATTCTGTGACTTGAATGCAATCATCACAAAGAACTTTCTGAGAATGCTGCTGTCTGCTTTTTATATGTAATCCCGTTTCCAACGAAATCCTCAAATCTAGCCAAATAGCCACTTGCAGATTCCACAAAAAGAGTGTTTCAAAACTGTTCTGTCTAAAGAAATGTTCAACTGTGTTAGTTGAGGACACACATCAGAAACTAGTTTCTGAGAATGCTTCTGTCTAGTTGTTATGGGAAGATATTTCCTTTTCCAACGTAGGCCTGAAAGCGCTCCAAATGTCCACTTCCAGATACTAAAAAAAGAGTGTTTCAAACCTGCTCTACCAAAGGGAATGTTCTACTCTGTGACTTGAATGCAAACATCCCAAAGAAGTTTCTGAGAATGCTTCTGTCTAGATTTGATCTGAAGACAATCCCGTTTCCTACGAAATCCTCAAGGCTAGGCAAATATCCTCTTGCAGATTCCAGAAAAAGAGTGTTTCAAAACTGCTCCTTCAAAACGGTGGTTCAATTCTCTTAGTTGAGTACACACATCTCAAATAAGTTTCTGAGAATGCTTCTGCCTAGTTGTTACGGGAAGATATTTCCCTTTCCAACATAGGCCTGAAAGCGCTCCAAATGTCCACTTCCAGATACTACAAAAAGAGTGTTTCAAACCTGCTCTACCAAAGGGAATGTTCTACTCTGTGACTTGAATGCAAACATCCCAAAGAAGTTTCTGAGAATGCTTCTGTCTAGATTTTACCTGAAGACAATCCCGTTTCCCACGAAATCCTCAAAGCTATGCAAATATCCTCTTGCAGATTCTACAAAAAGAGTGTTTCAAAAATGCTCTATGAAAAGAAAGGTTCAACTCTGTCAGTAGAGGGCACACATCACAAACAAGTTTCTGAGAATGCTTCTGCATAGTTGTTACGGGAAGATATTTCCCTTTCCAAAATAGGCCTGAAAGCGCTCCAAATGTCCACTTCCAGATACTACAAAAGGAATGATTCCAACCTGCTCTATGATAGGGAATGTTCAACTCTGTGTCCTGAATACAAACATCACAAAGATGTTTCTCAGAACGCTGCAGTCTGCAATTTGTATGAATTCCCGCTTCCAACGAAATCCTCAAAACTAGCCAAATATCCACTTGCAGATTCCACAAAAAGACCATTTCAAAACTGCTCTATCAAAAGAAAGGTTCAACTTTGTTAGTTGAGTAGATACAGCATAAACAAGTTTCTGAGAATGCTTCTGTCCAGTTTTTATGGGAAGATATTTCCTTTTTCACCTTAGCCCTGAAATCGCTCCAAAAGTCCAGTTCCAGATACTACAAAAGGGGTGTTTCAGGACTGCTCTATGAAAGGGAGTGTTCAACTTTTGACTTGAATGCAAACATCAGAAAGCAGTTTCTCAGAACGCTGCTGTGTGCTTTTTATATGTATTCCCGCTTCCAGCGAAATCCCCAAAGCTAGCCAAATATCCACTTGCAGATTCCAGAAAAAGAGAGTTTCAAAACTGCTCCTTCAAAACGGTGGTTCAATTCTCTTAGTTGAGTACACACATCTCAAATAAGTTTCTGAGAATGCTTCCTGTCTATTTGTTATGGGAAGATATTTCCTTTTCCAACATAGGGCCTGAAAGCGCTCCAAATGTCCACTTCCAGATACTACAAAAGGAGTGATTCAAACCTGCTCTATGATAGGGAATGTTCAACTCTGTGTCCTGAATACAAACATCACAAAGATGTTTCTCAGAACGCTGCAGTCTGCAATTTGTATGAATTCCCGCTTCCAACGAAATCCTCCAAACTAGCCAAATATCCACTTGCAGATTCCACAAAAAGAGCGTTTCAAAACTTCTCTATGAAAAGAAAGGTTCTACTCCTTTAGTTGAGGACACACATCACGAGTAAGTTTCTGAGAATGCTTCTGTCTAGTTTTTATGGGAAGATATTTCCTTTTTCACCTTAGGCCGGAAAGTGCTCCAAATGTCCACTTACACACCCTACAAAAAGAGTGTTTCAAACCTGCTCTGTGAAAGGGAATGTTCAATTCTGTGACTTGAATGCAATCATCACAAAGAACTTTCTGAGAATGCTGCTGTCTGCTTTTTATATGTAATCCCGTTTCCAACGAAATCCTCAAATCTAGCCAAATAGCCACTTGCAGATTCCACAAAAAGAGTGTTTCAAAACTGTTCTGTCTAAAGAAATGTTCAACTGTGTTAGTTGAGGACACACATCAGAAACTAGTTTCTGAGAATGCTTCTGTCTAGTTGTTATGGGAAGATATTTCCTTTTCCAACGTAGGCCTGAAAGCGCTCCAAATGTCCACTTCCATATACTAAAAAAAGAGTGTTTCAAACCTGCTCTACCAAAGGGAATGTTCTACTCTGTGACTTGAATGCAAACATCCCAAAGAAGTTTCTGAGAATGCTTCTGTCTAGATTTTATCTGAAGACAATCCCGTTTCCAACGAAATCCTCAAGGCTAGGCAAATATACTCTTGCAGATTCCAGAAAAAGAGTGTTTCAAAACTGCTCCTTCAAAACGGTGGTTCAATTCTCTTAGTTGAGTACACACATCTCAAATAAGTTTCTGAGAATGCTTCTGCCTAGTTGTTACGGGAAGATATTTCCCTTTCCAACATGGGCCTGAAAGCGCTCCAAATGTCCACTTCCAGATACTACAAAAAGAGGGTTTCAAACCTGCTCTACCAAAGGGAATGTTCTACTCTGTGACTTGAATGCAAACATCCCAAAGAAGTTTCTGAGAATGCTTCTGTCTAGATTTTACCTGAAGACAATCCCGTTTCCCACGAAATCCTCAAAGCTATGCAAATATCCTCTTGCAGATTCTACAAAAAGAGTGTTTCAAAACTGCTCTATGAAAAGAAAGGTTCAACTCTGTCAGTAGAGGGCACACATCACAAACAAGTTTCTGAGAATGCTTGTGTCTAGTTGTTATGGGAAGATATTTCCTTTTTCAACATAGGCCAGAAAGCGCTCCAAATGTCCACTTCCAGATACTACAAAAGGAGTGATTCCAACCTGCTCTATGATAGGGAATGTTCAACTCTCTGTCCTGAATACAAACATCACAAAGATGTTTCTCAGAACGCTGCAGTCTGCAATTTGTATGAATTCCCGCTTCCAACGAAATCCTCAAAACTAGCCAAATATCCACTTGCAGATTCCACAAAAAGAGCATTTCAAAACTGCTCTATCAAAAGAAAGGTTCAACTTTGTTAGTTGAGTAGATACAGCATAAACAAGTTTCTGAGAATGTTTCTGTCCAGTTTTTATGGGAAGATATTTCCTTTTTCACCTTAGCCCTGAAAGCGCTCCAAAAGTCCAGTTCCAGATACTACAAAAGGAGTGTTTCAGGACTGCTCTATGAAAGGGAGTGTTCAAATTTTGACTTGAATGCAAACATCAGAAAGCAGTTTCTCAGAACGCTGCTGTGTGCTTTTTATATGTATTCCCGCCTCCAGCGAAATCCCCAAAGCTAGCCAAATATCCACTTGCAGATTCCAGAAAAAGAGTGTTTCAAAACTGCTCCTTCAAAACGGTGGTTCAATTCTCTTAGTTGAGTACACACATCTCAAATAAGTTTCTGAGAATGCTTCTGTCTAGTTGTTATGGGAAGATATTTCCTTTTCCAACATAGGCCTGAAAGCGCTCCAAATGTCCACTTCCAGATACTACAAAAGGAGTGATTCCAACCTGCTCTATGATAGGGAATGTTCAACTCTGTGTCCTGAATACAAACATCACAAAGATGTTTCTCAGAACGCTGCAGTCTGCAATTTGTATGAATTCCCGCTTCCAACGAAATCCTCCAAACTAGCCAAATATCCACTTGCAGATTCCACAAAAAGAGCGTTTCAAAACTTCTCTATGAAAACAAAGTTTCTACTCCTTTAGTTGAGGACACACATCACGAGTAAGTTTCTGAGAATGCTTCTGTCTAGTTTTTATGGGAAGATATTTCCTTTTTCACCTTAGGCCGGAAAGTGCTCCAAATGTCCACTTACACACACTATAAAAAGAGTGTTTCAAACCTGCTCTGTGAAAGGGAATGTTCAATTCTGTGACTTGAATGCAATCATCACAAAGAACTTTCTGAGAATGCTGCTGTCTGCTTTTTATATGTAATCCCGTTTCCAACGAAATCCTCAAATCTAGCCAAATAGCCACTTGCAGATTCCACAAAAAGAGAGTTTCAAAACTGTTCTGTCTAAAGAAATGTTCAACTGTGTTAGTTGAGGACACACATCAGAAACTAGTTTCTGAGAATGCTTCTGTCTAGTTGTTATGGGAAGATATTTCCTTTTCCAACGTAGGCCTGAAAGCGCTCCAAATGTCCACTTCCATATACTAAAAAAAGAGTGTTTCAAACCTGCTCTACCAAAGGGAATGTTCTACTCTGTGACTTGAATGCAAACATCCCAAAGAAGTTTCTGAGAATGCTTCTGTCTAGATTTGATCTGAAGACAATCCCGTTTCCAACGAAATCCTCAAGGCTAGGCAAATATCCTCTTGCAGATTCCAGAAAAAGAGTGTTTCAAAACTGCTCCTTCAAAACGGTGGTTCAATTCTCTTAGTTGAGTACACACATCTCAAATAAGTTTCTGAGAATGCTTCTGCCTAGTTGTTACGGGAAGATATTTCCCTTTCCAACATAGGCCTGAAAGCGCTCCAAATGTCCACTTCCAGATACTACAAAAAGAGTGTTTCAAACCTGCTCTACCAAAGGGAATGTTCTGCTCTGTGACTTGAATGCAAACATCCCAAAGAAGTTTCTGAGAATGCTTCTGTCTAGATTTTACCTGAAGACAATCCCGTTTCCCACGAAATCCTCAAAGCTATGCAAATATCCTCTTGCAGATTCTACAAAAAGAGTGTTTCAAAACTGCTCTATGAAAAGAAAGGTTCAACTCTGTCAGTAGAGGGCACACATCACAAACAAGTTTCTGAGAATGCTTCTGCATAGTTGTTACGGGAAGATATTTCCCTTTCCAAAATAGGCCTGAAAGCGCTCCAAATGTCCACTTCCAGATACTACAAAAGGAGTGATTCCAACCTGCTCTATGATAGGGAATGTTCAACTCTGTGTCCTGAATACAAACATCACAAAGATGTTTCTCAGAACGCTGCAGTCTGCAATTTGTATGAATTCCCGCTTCCAACGAAATCCTCAAAACTAGCCAAATATCCACTTGCAGATTCCACAAAAAGACCATTTCAAAACTGCTCTATCAAAAGAAAGGTTCAACTTTGTTAGTTGAGTAGATACAGCATAACCAAGTTTCTGAGAATGCTTCTGTCCAGTTTTTCTGGGAAGATATTTCCTTTTTCACCTTAGCCCTAAAATCGCTCCAAAAGTCCAGTTCCAGATACTACAAAAGGGGTGTTTCAAGACTGCTCTATGAAAGGGAGTGTTCAACTTTTGACTTGAATGCAAACATCAGAAAGCAGTTTCTCAGAACGCTGCTGTGTGCTTTTTATATGTATTCCCGCTTCCAGCGAAATCCCCAAAGCTAGCCAAATATCCACTTGCAGATTCCAGAAAAAGGGTGTTTCAAAACTGCTCCTTCAAAACGGTGGTTCAATTCTCTTAGTTGAGTACACACATCTCAAATAAGTTTCTGAGAATGCTTCTGTCTAGTTGTTATGGGAAGATATTTCCTTTTCCAACATAGGCCTGAAAGCGCTCCAAATGTCCACTTCCAGATACTACAAAAGGAGTGATTCAAACCTGCTCTATGATAGGGAATGTTCAACTCTGTGTCCTGAATACAAACATCACAAAGATGTTTCTCAGAACGCTGCAGTCTGCAATTTGTATGAATTCCCGCTTCCAACGAAATCCTCAAAACTAGCCAAATATCCACTTGCAGATTCCACAAAAAGAGCGTTTCAAAACTTCTCTATGAAAAGAAAGGTTCTACTCCTTTAGTTGAGGACACACATCACGAGTAAGTTTCTGAGAATGCTTCTGTCTAGTTTTTATGGGAAGATATTTCCTTTTTCACCTTAGGCCGGAAAGTGCTCCAAATGTCCACTTACACACACTACAAAAAGAGTGTTTCAAACCTGCTCTGTGAAAGGGAATGTTCAATTCTGTGACTTGAATGCAATCATCACAAAGAACTTTCTGAGAATGCTGCTGTCTGCTTTTTATATGTAATCCCGTTTCCAACGAAATCCTCAAATCTAGCCAAATAGCCACTTGCAGATTCCACAAAAAGAGTGTTTCAAAACTGTTCTGTCTAAAGAAATGTACAACTGTGTTAGTTGAGGACACACATCAGAAACTAGTTTCTGAGAATGCTTCTGTCTAGTTGTTATGGGAAGATATTTCCTTTTCCAACGTAGGCCTGAAAGCGCTCCAAATGTCCACTTCCATATACTAAAAAAAGAGTGTTTCAAACCTGCTCTACCAAAGGGAATGTTCTACTCTGTGACTTGAATGCAAACATCCCAAAGAAGTTTCTGAGAATGCTTCTGTCTAGATTTTATCTGAAGACAATCCCGTTTCCAACGAAATCCTCAAGGCTAGGCAAATATACTCTTGCAGATTCCAGAAAAAGAGTGTTTCAAAACTGCTCCTTCAAAACGGTGGTTCAATTCTCTTAGTTGAGTACACACATCTCAAATAAGTTTCTGAGAATGCTTCTGCCTAGTTGTTACGGGAAGATATTTCCCTTTCCAACATGGGCCTGAAAGTGCTCCAAATGTCCACTTCCAGATACTACAAAAAGAGGGTTTCAAACCTGCTCTACCAAAGGGAATGTTCTACTCTGTGACTTGAATGCAAACATCCCAAAGAAGTTTCTGAGAATGCTTCTGTCTAGATTTTACCTGAAGACAATCCCGTTTCCCACGAAATCCTCAAAGCTATGCAAATATCCTCTTGCAGATTCTACAAAAAGAGTGTTTCAAAACTGCTCTATGAAAAGAAAGGTTCAACTCTGTCAGTAGAGGGCACACATCACAAACAAGTTTCTGAGAATGCTTGTGTCTAGTTGTTATGGGAAGATATTTCCTTTTTCAACATAGGCCTGAAAGCGCTCCAAATGTCCACTTCCAGATACTACAAAAGGAGTGATTCCAACCTGCTCTATGATAGGTAATGTTCATCTCTGTGTCCTGAATACAAACATCACAAAGATGTTTCTCAGAACGCTGCAGTCTGCAATTTGTATGAATTCCCGCTTCCAACGAATTCCTCAAAACTAACCCAATATCCACTTGCAGACTCCACAAAAAGAGCATTTCAAAACTGCTCTATCAAAAGAAAGGTTCAACTTGTTAGCTGAGTAGTTACAGCATAAACAAGTTTCTGAGAATGCTTCTGTCCAGTTTTTATGGGAAGATATTTCCTTTTTCACCTTAGCCCTGAAAGCGCTCCAAAAGTCCAGTTCCAGATACTACAAAAGGAGTGTTTCAGGACTGCTCTATGAAAGGGAGTGTTCAACTTTTGACTTGAATGCAAACATCAGAAAGCAGTTTCTCAGAACGCTGCTGTGTGCTTTTTATATGTATTCCCGCTTCCAGCGAAATCCCCAAAGCTAGCCAAATACCACTTGCAGATTCCAGAAAAAGAGTGTTTCAAAACTGCTCCTTCAAAACGGTGGTTCAATTCTCTTAGTTGAGTACACACATCTCAAATAAGTTTCTGAGAATGCTTCTGTCTAGTTGTTATGGGAAGATATTTCCTTTTCCAACATAGGCCTGAAAGCGCTCCAAATGTCCACTTCCAGATACTACAAAAGGAGTGATTCAAACCTGCTCTATGATAGGGAATGTTCAACTCTGTGTCCTGAATACAAACATCAGAAAGATGTTTCTCAGAACGCTGCAGTCTGCAATTTGTATGAATTCCCGCTTCCAACGAAATCCTCAAAACTAGCCAAATATCCACTTGCAGATTCCACAAAAAGAGCGTTTCAAAACTTCTCTATGAAAAGAAAGGTTCTACTCCTTTAGTTGAGGACACACATCACGAGTAAGTTTCTGAGAATGCTTCTGTCTAGTTTTTATGGGAAGATATTTCCTTTTTCACCTTAGGCCGGTAAGTGCTCCAAATGTCCACTTACACACACTACAAAAAGAGTGTTTCAAACCTGCTCTGTGAAAGGGAATGTTCAATTCTGTGACTTGAATGCAATCATCACAAAGAACTTTCTGAGAATGCCGCTGTCTGCTTTTTATATGTAATCCCGTTTCCAACGAAATCCTCAAATCTAGCCAAATATCCACTTGCAGATTCCACAAAGAGAGTGTTTCAAAACTGTTCTGTCTAAAGAAATGTTCAACTGTGTTAGTTGAGGACACACATCAGAAACTAGTTTCTGAGAATGCTTCTGTCTATTTGTTATGGGAAGATATTTCCTTTTCCAACGTAGGCCTGAAAGCGCTCCAAATGTCCACTTCCATATACTAAAAAAAGAGTGTTTCAAACCTGCTCTACCAAAGGGAATGTTCTACTACTGTGACTTGAATGCAAACATCCCAAAGAAGTTTCTGAGAATGCTTCTGTCTAGATTGGATCTGAAGACAATCCCGTTTCCAACGAAATCCTCAAATCTATGCAAATATCCTCTTGCAGATTCCAGAAAAAGAGTGTTTCAAAACTGCTCCTTCAAAACGGTGGTTCAATTCTCTTAGTTGAGTACACACATCTCAAATAAGTTTCTGAGAATGCTTCTGCCTAGTTGTTACGGGAAGATATTTCCCTTTCCAACATAGGCCTGAAAGCGCTCCAAATGTCCACTTCCAGATACTACAAAAAGAGTGTTTCAAACCTGCTCCTTCAAAACGGTGGTTCAATTCTCTTAGTTCAGTACACACATCTCAAATAAGTTTCTGAGAATGCTTCTGCCTAGTTGTTACGGGAAGATATTTCCCTTTCCAACATAGGCCTGAAAGCGCTCCAAATGTCCACTTCCAGATACTACAAAAAGAGTGTTTCAAACCTGCTCTACCAAAGGGAATGTTCTACTCTGTGACTTGAATGCAAACATCCCGAAGAATTTTCTGAGAATGCTTCTGTCTAGATTTTACCTGAAGACAATCCCGTTTCCCACGAAATCCTCAAAGCTATGCAAATATCCTCTTGCAGATTCTACAAAAAGAGTGTTTCAAAACTGCTCTATGAAAAGAAAGGTTCAACTCTGTCAGTAGAGGGCACACATCACAAACAAGTTTCTGAGAATGCTTGTGTCTACTTGTTATGGGAAGATATTTCCTTTTTCAACATAGGCCTGAAAGCGCTCCAAATGTCCACTTCCAGATACTACAAAAGGAGTGATTCCAACCTCCTCTATGATAGGGAATGTTCAACTCTGTGTCCTGAATACAAACATCACAAAGATGTTTCTCAGAACGCTGCAGTCTGCAATTTGTATGAATTCCCGCTTCCAACGAAATCCTCAAACCTAGCCAAATATCCACTTGCAGATTCCACAAAAAGAGCATTTCAAAACTGCTCTATCAAAAGAAAGGTTCAACTTTGTTAGTTGAGTAGATACAGCATAAACAAGTTTCTGAGAATGCTTCTGTCCAGTTTTTATGGGAAGATATTTCCTTTTTCACCTTAGCCCTGAAAGCGCTCCAAATGTCCAGTTCCAGATACTACAAAAGGGGTGTTTCAAGACTGCTCTATGAAAGGGAGTGTTCAACTTTTGACTTGAATGCAAACATCAGAAAGCAGTTTCTCAGAACGCTGCAGTCTGCAATTTGTATGAATTCCCGCTTCCAACGAAATCCTCAAAACTAGCCAAATATCCACTTGCAGATTCCACAAAAAGAGCGTTTCAAAACTTCTCTATGAAAAGAAAGGTTCTACTCCTTTAGTTGAGGACACACAATACGAGTAAGTTTCTGAGAATGCTTCTGTCCAGTTTTTATGGGAAGATATTTCCTTTTTCACCTTAGCCCTGAAAGCGCTCCAAAAGTCCAGTTCCAGATACTACAAAAGGAGTGTTTCAGGACTGCTCTATGAAAGGGAGTGTTCAACTTTTGACTTGAATGCAAACATCAGAAAGCAGTTTCTCAGAACGCTGCTGTGTGCTTTTTATATGTATTCCCGCTTCCAGCGAAATCCCCAAAGCTAGCCAAATATCCACTTGCAGATTCCAGAAAAAGAGTGTTTCAAAACTGCTCCTTCAAAACGGTGGTTCAATTCTCTTAGTTGAGTACACACATCTCAAATAAGTTTCTGAGAATGCTTCTGTCTAGTTGTTATGGGAAGATATTTCCTTTTCCAACATAGGCCTGAAAGCGCTCCAAATGTCCACTTCCAGATACTACAAAAGGAGTGATTCAAACCTGCTCTATGATAGGGAATGTTCAACTCAGTGTCCTGAATACAAACATCACAAAGATGTTTCTCAGAACGCTGCAGTCTGCAATTTGTATGAATTCCCGCTTCCAACGAATTCCTCAAAACTAACCAAATATCCACTTGCAGACTCCACAAAAAGAGCATTTCAAAACTGCTCTATCAAAAGAAAGGTTCAACTTTGTTAGCTGAGTAGATACAGCATAAACAAGTTTCTGAGAATGCTTCTGTCCAGTTTTTATGGGAAGATATTTCCTTTTTCACCTTAGCCCTGAAAGCACTCCAAATGTCCACTTCCAGATACCACAAAAGGGGAGTTTCAAGACTGCTCTATGAAAGGGAGTGTTCAACTTTTGACTTGAATGCGAACATCAGAAAGAAGTTTCTCAGAACGCTGCTGTGTGCTTTTTATATGTATTCCCGCTTCCAGCGAAATCCCCAAAGCTAGCCAAATATCCAATTGCAGATTCCAGAAAAAGAGTGTTTCAAAACTGCTCCTTCAAAACGGTGGTTCAATTCTCTTAGTTGAGTACACACATCTCAAATAAGTTTCTGAGAATGCTTGTGTCTAGTTGTTATGGGAAGATATTTCCTTTTTCAACATAGGCCTGAAAGCGCTCCAAATGTCCACTTCCAGATACTACAAAAGGAGTGATTCCAACCTGCTCTATGATAGGGAATGTTCATCTCTGTGTCCTGAATACAAACATCACAAAGATGTTTCTCAGAACGCTGCAGTCTGCAATTTGGATGAATTCCCGCTTCCAACGAAATCCTCAAAACTAGCCAAATATCCACTTGGAGATTCCACAAAAAGAGCGTTTCAAAACTTCTCTATGAATAGAAAGGTTCTACTCCTTTAGTTGAGGACACACATCACGAGTAAGTTTCTGAGAATGCTTCTGTCTAGTTTTTATGGGAAGATATTTCCTTTTTCACCTTAGGCCGGAAAGCGCTCCAAATGTCCACTTACACACACTACAAAAAGAGTGTTTCAAACCTGCTCTGTGAAAGGGAATGTTCAATTCTGTGACTTGAATGCAATCATCACAAAGAACTTTCTGAGAATGCTGCTGACTGTTTTTTATATGTAATCCCGTTTCCAACGAAATCCTCAAATCTAGCCAATTATCCACTTGCAGATTCCACAAAAAGAGTGTTTCAAAACTGTTCTGTCTAAAGAAAAGTTCAACTGTGTTAGTTGAGGACACATATCAGAAACTAGTTTCTGAGAATGCTTCTGTCTAGTTGCTATGGGAAGATATTTCCTTTTCCAACGTAGGCCTGAAAGCGCTCCAAATGTCCACTTCCATATACTAAAAAAAGAGTGTTTCAAACCTGCTCTACCAAAGGGAATGTTCTACTCTGTGACTTGAATGCAAACATCCCAAAGAAGTTTCTGAGAAGGCTTCTGTCTAGATTTTATCTGAAGACAATCCCGTTTCCAACGAAATCTTCAAGGCTAGGCAAATATACTCTTGCAGATTCCAGAAAAAGAGTGTTTCAAATCTGCTCCTTCAAAACGGTGGTTCAATTCTCTTAGTTGAGTACACACATCTCAAATAAGTTTCTGAGAATGCTTCTGCCTAGTTGTTACGGGAAGATATTTCCCTTTCCAAAATAGGCCTGAAAGCGCTCCAAATGTCCACTTCCAGATACTACAAAAGGAGTGATTCCAACCTGCTCTATGATAGGGAATGTTCAACTCTGTGTCCTGAATACAAACATCACAAAGATGTTTCTCAGAACGCTGCAGTCTGCAATTTGCATGAATTCCAGCTTCCAACGAAATCCTCAAAACTAGCCAAATATCCACTTGCAGATTCCACAAAAAGAGCATTTCAAAACTGCTCTATCAAAAGAAAGGTTCAACTTTGTTAGTAGAGTAGATACAGCATAAACAAGTTTCTGAGAATGCTTCTGTCCAGTTTTTATGGGAAGATATTTCCTTTTTCACCTTAGCCCTGAAAGCGCTCCAAATGTCCAGTTCCAGATACTACAAAAGGGGTGTTTCAAGACTGCTCTATGAAAGGGAGTGTTCAACTTTTGACTTGAATGCAAACATCAGAAAGCAGTTTCTCAGAACGCTGCTGTGTGCTTTTTATATGTATTCCCGCTTCCAGCGAAATCCCCAAAGCTAGCCAAATATCCACTTGCAGATTCCAGAAAAAGAGTGTTTCAAAACTGCTCCTTCAAAACGGTGGTTCAATTCTCTTAGTTGAGTACACACATCTCAAATAAGTTTCTGAGAATGCTTCTGTCTAGTTGTTATGGGAAGATATTTCCTTTTCCAACATAGGCCTGAAAGCGCTCCAAATGTCCACTTCCAGATACTACAAAAGGAGTGATTCAAACCTGCTCTATGATAGGGAATGTTCAACTCTGTGTCCTGAATACAAACATCACAAAGATGTTTCTCAGAACGCTGCAGTCTGCAATTTGTATGAATTCCCGCTTCCAACGAAATCCTCCAAACTAGCCAAATATCCACTTGCAGATTCCACAAAAAGAGCGTTTCAAAACTTCTCTATGAAAAGAAAGGTTCTACTCCTTTAGTTGAGGACACACATCACGAGTAAGTTTCTGAGAATGCTTCTGTCTAGTTTTTATGGCAAGATATTTCCTTGTTCACCTTAGGCAGGAAAGCGCTCCAAATGTCCACTTACACACACTACAAAAAGAGTGTTTCAAACCTGCTCTGTGAAAGGGAATGTTCAATTCTGTGACTTGAATGCAATCATCACAAAGAAGTTTCTGAGAATGCTGCTGTCTGCTATTTATATGTAATCCCGTTTCCAACGAAATCCTCAAATCTAGCCAAATATCCACTTGCAGATTCCACAAAAAGAGTGTTTCAAAACTGTTCTGTCTAAAGAAATGTTCAACTGTGTTAGTTGAGGACACACATCAGAAACTAGTTTCTGAGAATGCTTCTGTCTAGTTGTTATGGGAAGATATTTCCTTTTCCAACGTAGGCCTGAAAGCGCTCCAAATGTCCACTTCCAGATACTACAAAAAGAGTGTTTCAAACCTGCTCTACCAAAGGGAATGTTCTACTCTGTGACTTGAATGCAAACATCCCAAAGAAGTTTCTGAGAATGCTTCTGTCTAGATTTTCTCTGAAGACAATCCCGTTTCCAACGAAATCCTCAAGGCTAGGCAAATATACTCTTGCAGATTCCAGAAAAAGAGTGTTTCAAAACTGCTCCTTCAAAACGGTGGTTCAATTCTCTTAGTTGAGTACACACATCTCAAATAAGTTTCTGAGAATGCTTCTGCCTAGTTGTTACGGGAAGATATTTCCCTTTCCAACATGGGCCTGAAAGCGCTCCAAATGTCCACTTCCAGATACTACAAAAAGAGTGTTTCAAACCTGCTCTACCAAAGGGAATGTTCTACTCTGTGACTTGAATGCAAACATCCCAAAGAAGTTTCTGAGAATGCTTCTGTCTAGATTTTACCTGAAGACAATCCCGTTTCCCACGAAATCCTCAAAGCTATGCAAATATCCTCTTGCAGATTCTACAAAAAGAGTGTTTCAAAACTGCTCTATGAAAAGAAAGGTTCAACTCTGTCAGTAGAGGGCACACATCACAAACAAGTTTCTGAGAATGCTTCTGCATAGTTGTTACGGGAAGATATTTCCCTTTCCAAAATAGGCCTGAAAGCGCTCCAAATGTCCACTTCCAGATACTACAAAAGGAGTGATTCCAACCTGCTCTATGATAGGGAATGTTCAACTCTGTGTCCTGAATACAAACATCACAAAGATGTTTCTCAGAACGCTGCAGTCTGCAATTTGTATGAATTCCCGCTTCCAACGAAATCCTCAAAACTAGCCAAATATCCACTTGCAGATTCCACAAAAAGACCATTTCAAAACTGCTCTATCAAAAGAAAGGTTCAACTTTGTTAGTTGAGTAGATACAGCATAACCAAGTTTCTGAGAATGCTTCTGTCCAGTTTTTATGGGAAGATATTTCCTTTTTCACCTTAGCCCTGAAATCGCTCCAAAAGTCCAGTTCCAGATACTACAAAAGGGGTGTTTCAGGACTGCTCTATGAAAGGGAGTGTTCAACTTTTGACTTGAATGCAAACATCAGAAAGCAGTTTCTCAGAACGCTGCTGTGTGCTTTTTATATGTATTCCCGCTTCCAGCGAAATCCCCAAAGCTAGCCAAATATCCACTTGCAGATTCCAGAAAAAGAGAGTTTCAAAACTGCTCCTTCAAAACGGTGGTTCAATTCTCTTAGTTGAGTACACACATCTCAAATAAGTTTCTGAGCAATGCTTCTGTCCAGTTTTTATGGGAAGATATTTCCTTTTTCACCTTAGCCCTGAAAGCGCTCCAAAAGTCCAGTTCCAGATACTACAAAAGGAGTGTTTCAGGACTGCTCTATGAAAGGGAGTGTTCAACTTTTGACTTGAATGCAAACATCACAAAGCAGTTTCTCAGAACGCTGCTGTGTGCTTTTTATATGTATTCCCGCTTCCAGCGAAATCCCCAAAGCTAGCCAAATGTCCACTTGCAGATTCCAGAAAAAGAGTGTTTCAAAACTGCTCCTTCAAAACGGTGGTTCAATTCTCTTAGTTGAGTACACACATCTCAAATAAGTTTCTGAGAATGCTTCTGTCTAGTTGTTATGGGAAGATATTTCCTTTTCCAACATAGGCCTGAAAGCGCTCCAAATGTCCACTTCCAGATACTACAAAAGGAGTGATTCAAACCTGCTCTATGATAGGGAATGTTCAACTCTGTGTCCTGAATACAAACATCACAAAGATGTTTCTCAGAACGCTGCAGTCTGCAATTTGTATGAATTCCCGCTTCCAACGAAATCCTCCAAACTAGCCAAATATCCACTTGCAGATTCCACAAAAAGAGCGTTTCAAAACTTCTCTATGAAAAGAAAGGTTCTACTCCTTTAGTTGAGGACACACATCACGAGTAAGTTTCTGAGAATGCTTCTGTCTAGTTTTTATGGGAAGATATTTCCTTTCTCACCTTAGGCCGGAAAGTGCTCCAAATGTCCACTTACACACACTACAAAAAGAGTGTTTCAAACCTGCTCTGTGAAAGGGAATGTTCAATTCTGTGACTTGAATGCAATCATCACAAAGAACTTTCTGAGAATGCTGCTGTCTGCTTTTTATATGTAATCCCGTTTCCAACGAAATCCTCAAATCTAGCCAAATAGCCACTTGCAGATTCCACAAAAAGAGAGTTTCAAAACTGTTCTGTCTAAAGAAATGTTCAACTGTGTTAGTTGAGGACACACATCAGAAACTAGTTTCTGAGAATGCTTCTGTCTAATTGTTATGGGAAGATATTTCCTTTTCCAACGTAGGCCTGAAAGCGCTCCAAATGTCCACTTCCATATACTAAAAAAAGAGTGTTTCAAACCTGCTCTACCAAAGGGAATGTTCTACTCTGTGACTTGAATGCAAACATCCCAAAGAAGTTTCTGAGAATGCTTCTGTCTGAGATTTGTATCTGAAGACAATCCCGTTTCCAACGAAATCCTCAAGAGCTAGGCAAATATCCTCTTGCAGATTCCAGAAAAAGAGTGTTTCAAAACTGCTCCTTCAAAACGGTGGTTCAATTCTCTTAGTTGAGTTCACACATCTCAAATAAGTTTCTGAGAATGCTTCTGCCTAGTTGTTACGGGAAGATATTTCCCTTTCCAACATAGGCCTGAAAGCGCTCCAAATGTCCACTTCCAGATACTATAAAAAGAGTGTTTCAAACCTGCTCTACCAAAGGGAATGTTCTACTCTGTGACTTGAATGCAAACATCCCAAAGAAGTTTCTGAGAATGCTTCTGTCTAGATTTTACCTGAAGACAATCCCGTTTCCCACGAAATCCTCAAAGCTATGCAAATATCCTCTTGCAGATTCTACAAAAAGAGTGTTTCAAAACTGCTCTATGAAAAGAAAGGTTCAACTCTGTCAGTAGAGGGCACACATCACAAACAAGTTTCTGAGAATGCTTGTGTCTAGTTGTTATGGGAAGATATTTCCTTTTTCAACATAGGCCTGAAAGCGCTCCAAATGTCCACTTCCAGATACTACAAAAGGAGTGATTCCAACCTGCTCTATGATAGGGAATGTTCAACTCTCTGTCCTGAATACAAACATCACAAAGATGTTTCTCAGAACGCTGCAGTCTGCAATTTGTATGAATTCCCGCTTCCAACGAAATCCTCAAAACTAGCCAAATATCCACTTGCAGATTCCACAAAAAGAGCATTTCAAAACTGCTCTATCAAAAGAAAGGTTCAACTTTGTTAGTTGAGTAGATACAGCATAAACAAGTTTCTGAGAATGCTTCTGTCCAGTTTTTATGGGAAGATATTTCCTTTTTCACCTTAGCCCTGAAAGCGCTCCAAAAGTCCAGTTCCAGATACTACAAAAGGAGTGTTTCAGGACTGCACTATGAAAGGGAGTGTTCAACTTTTGACTTGAATGCAAACATCAGAAAGCAGTTTCTCAGAACGCTGCTGTGGGCTTTTTATATGTATTCCCGCTTCCAGCGAAATCCCCAAAGCTAGCCAAATATCCACTTGCAGATTCCAGAAAAAGAGTGTTTCAAAACTGCTCCTTCAAAACGGTGGTTCAATTCTCTTAGTTGAGTACACACATCTCAAATAAGTTTCTGAGAATGCTTCTGTCTAGTTGTTATGGGAAGATATTTCCTTTTCCAACATAGGCTTGAAAGCGCTCCAAATGTCCACTTCCAGATACTACAAAAGGAGTGATTCAAACCTGCTCTATGATAGGGAATGTTCAACTCTGTGTCCTGAATACAAACATCACAAAGATGTTTCTCAGAAAGCTGCAGTCTGCAATTTGTATGAATTCCCGCTTCCAACGAAATCCTCAAAACTAGCCAAATATCCACTTGCAGATTCCACAAAAAGAGCGTTTCAAAACTTCTCTATGAAAAGAAAGGTTCTACTCCTTTAGTTGAGGACACACATCACGAGTAAGTTTCTGAGAATGCTTCTGTCTAGTTTTTATGGGAAGATATTTCCTTTTTCACCTTAGGCCGGAAAGTGCTCCAAATGTCCACTTACACACACTACAAAAAGAGTGTTTCAAACCTGCTCTGTGAAAGGGAATGTTCAATTCTGTGACTTGAATGCAATCATCACAAAGAACGTTCTGAGAATGCTGCTGTCTGCTTTTTATATGTAATCCCGTTTCCAACGAAATCCTCAAATCTAGCCAAATAGCCACTTGCAGATTCCACAAAAATAGAGTTTCAAAACTGTTCTGTCTAAAGAAATGTTCAACTGTGTTAGTTGAGGACACACATCAGAAACTAGTTTCTGAGAATGCTTCTGTCTAATTGTTATGGGAAGATATTTCCTTTTCCAACGTAGGCCTGAAAGCGCTCCAAATGTCCACTTCCATATACTAAAAAAAGAGTGTTTCAAACCTGCTCTACCAAAGGGAATGTTCTACTCTGTGACTTGAATGCAAACATCCCAAAGAAGTTTCTGAGAATGCTTCTGTCTAGATTTGATCTGAAGACAATCCCGTTTCCAACGAAATCCTCAAAGCTAGGCAAATATCCTCTTGCAGATTCCAGAAAAAGAGTGTTTCAAAACTGCTCCTTCAAAACGGTGGTTCAATTCTCTTAGTTGAGTACACACATCTCAAATAAGTTTCTGAGAATGCTTCTGCCTAGTTGTTACGGGAAGATATTTCCCTTTCCAACATAGGCCTGAAAGCGCTCCAAATGTCCACTTCCAGATACTATAAAAAGAGTGTTTCAAACCTGCTCTACCAAAGGGAATGTTCTACTCTGTGACTTGAATGCAAACATCCCAAAGAAGTTTCTGAGAATGCTTCTGTCTAGATTTTACCTGAAGACAATCCCGTTTCCCACGAAATCCTCAAAGCTATGCAAATATCCTCTTGCAGATTCTACAAAAAGAGCGTTTCAAAACTTCTCTATGAAAAGAAAGGTTCTACTCATTTAGTGGAGGACACACATCACGAGTAAGTTTCTGAGAATGCTTGTGTCTAGTTGTTATGGGAAGATATTTCCTTTTTCACCTTAGGCCGGAAAGTGCTCCAAATGTCCACTTCCAGATACTACAAAAGGAGTGATTCCAACCTGCTCTATGATAGGGAATGTTCAACTCTCTGTCCTGAATACAAACATCACAAAGATGTTTCTCAGAACGCTTGCAGTCTGCAATTTGCATGAATTCCAGCTTCCAACGAAATCCTCAAAACTAGCCAAATATCCACTTGCAGATTCCACAAAAAGAGCATTTCAAAACTGCTCTATCAAAAGAAAGGTTCAACTTTGTTAGTAGAGTAGATACAGCATAAACAAGTTTCTGAGAATGCTTCTGTCCAGTTTTTATGGGAAGATATTTCCTTTTTCACCTTAGCCCTGAAAGCGCTCCAAATGTCCACTTCCAGATACTACAAAAGGGGTGTTTCAAGACTGCTCTATGAAAGGGAGTGTTCAACTTTTGACTTGAATGCAAACATCAGAAAGCAGTTTCTCAGAACGCTGCTGTGTGCTTTTTATATGTATTCCCGCTTCCAGCGAAATCCCCAAAGCTAGCCAAATATCCACTTGCAGATTCCAGAAAAAGAGTGTTTCAAAACTGCTCCTTCAAAACGGTGGTTCAATTCTCTTAGTTGAGTACACACATCTCAAATAAGTTTCTGAGAATGCTTGTGTCTAGTTGTTATGGGAAGATATTTCCTTTTTCAACATAGGCCTGAAAGCGCTCCAAATGTCCACTTCCAGATACTACAAAAGGAGTGATTCCAACCTGCTCTATGATAGGGAATGTTCATCTCTGTGTCCTGAATACAAACATCACAAAGATGTTTCTCAGAACGCTGCAGTCTGCAATTTGGATGAATTCCCGCTTCCAACGAAATCCTCAAAACTAGCCAAATATCCACTTGGAGATTCCACAAAAAGAGCGTTTCAAAACTTCTCTATGAATAGAAATGTTCTACTCCTTTATTTGAGGACACACATCACGAGTAAGTTTCTGAGAATGCTTCTGTCTAGTTTTTATGGGAAGATATGTCCTTTTTCACCTTAGGCCGGAAAGCGCTCCAAATGTCCACTTACACACACTACAAAAAGAGTGTTTCAAACCTGCTCTGTGAAAGGGAATGTTCAATTCTGTGACTTGAATGCAATCATCACAAAGAACTTTCTGAGAATGCTGCTGTCTGCTTTTTATATGTAATCCCGTTTCCAACGAAATCCTCAAATCTAGCCCAATATCCACTTGCAGATTCCACAAAAAGAGTGTTTCAAAACTGTTCTGTCTAAAGAAAAGTTCAACTGTGTTAGTTGAGGACACACATCAGAAACTAGTTTCTGAGAATGCTTCTGTCTAGTTGTTATGGGAAGATATTTCCTTTTCCAACGTAGGCCTGAAAGCGCTCCAAATGTCCACTTCCATATACTAAAAAAAGAGTGTTTCAAACCTGCTCTGCCAAAGGGAATGTTCTACTCTGTGACTTGAATGCAAACATCCCAAAGAAGTTTCTGAGAATGCTTCTGTCTAGATTTGATCTGAAGACAATCCCGTTTCCAACGAAATCCTCAAGGCTAGGCAAATATCCTCTTGCAGATTCCAGAAAAAGAGTGTTTCAAAACTGCTCCTTCAAAACGGTGGTTCAATTCTCTTAGTTGAGTACACACATCTCAAATAAGTTTCTGAGAATGCTTCTGCCTAGTTGTTACGGGAAGATATTTCCCTTTCCAACATAGGCCTGAAAGCGCTCCAAATGTCCACTTCCAGATACTACAAAAAGAGTGTTTCAAACCTGCTCTACCAAAGGGAATGTTCTGCTCTGTGACTTGAATGCAAACATCCCAAAGAAGTTTCTGAGAATGCTTCTGTCTAGATTTTACCTGAAGACAATCCCGTTTCCCACGAAATCCTCAAAGCTATGCAAATATCCTCTTGCAGATTCTACAAAAAGAGTGTTTCAAAACTGCTCTATGAAAAGAAAGGTTCAACTCTGTCAGTAGAGGGCACACATCACAAACAAGTTTCTGAGAATGCTTCTGCATAGTTGTTACGGGAAGATATTTCCCTTTCCAAAATAGGCCTGAAAGCGCTCCAAATGTCCACTTCCAGATACTACAAAAGGAGTGATTCCAACCTGCTCTATGATAGGGAATGTTCAACTCTGTGTCCTGAATACAAACATCACAAAGATGTTTCTCAGAATGCTGCAGTCTGCAATTTGTATGAATTCCCGCTTCCAACGAAATCCTCAAAACTAGCCAAATATCCACTTGCAGATTCCACAAAAAGACCATTTCAAAACTGCTCTATCAAAAGAAAGGTTCAACTTTGTTAGTTGAGTAGATACAGCATAAACAAGTTTCTGAGAATGCTTCTGTCCAGTTTTTATGGGAAGATATTTCCTTTTTCACCTTAGCCCTGAAATCGCTCCAAAAGTCCAGTTCCAGATACTACAAAAGGGGTGTTTCAGGACTGCTCTATGAAAGGGAGTGTTCAACTTTTGACTTGAATGCAAACATCAGAAAGCAGTTTCTCAGAACGCTGCTGTGTGCTTTTTATATGTATTCCCGCTTCCAGCGAAATCCCCAAAGCTAGCCAAATATCCACTTGCAGATTCCAGAAAAAGAGAGTTTCAAAACTGCTCCTTCAAAACGGTGGTTCAATTCTCTTAGTTGAGTACACACATCTCAAATAAGTTTCTGAGAATGCTTGTGTCTAGTTGTTATGGGAAGATATTTCCTTTTTCAACATAGGCCTGAAAGCGCTCCAAATGTCCACTTCCAGATACTACAAAAGGAGTGATTCCAACCTGCTCTATGATAGGGAATGTTCATCTCTGTGTCCTGAATACAAACATCACAAAGATGTTTCTCAGAACGCTGCAGTCTGCAATTTGTATGAATTCCCGCTTCCAACGAAATCCTCAACACTAGCCAAATATCCACTTGGAGATTCCACAAAAAGAGCGTTTCAAAACTTCTCTATGAATAGAAAGGTTCTACTCCTTTAGTTGAGGACACACATCACGAGTAAGTTTCTGAGAAAGCTTCTGTCTAGTTTTTATGGGAAGATATTTCCTTTTTCACCTTAGGCCGGAAAGCGCTCCAAATGTCCACTTACACACACTACAAAAAGAGTGTTTCAAACCTGCTCTGTGAAAGGGAATGTTCAATTCTGTGACTTGAATGCAATCATCACAAAGAACTTTCTGAGAATGCTGCTGACTGCTTTTTATATGTAATCCCGTTTCCAACGAAATCCTCAAATCTAGCCCAATATCCACTTGCAGATTCCACAAAAAGAGTGTTTCAAAACTGTTCTGTCTAAAGAAATGTACAACTGTGTTAGTTGAGGACACACATCAGAAACTAGTTTCTGAGAATGCTTCTGTCTAGTTGTTATGGGAAGATATTTCCTTTTCCAACGTAGGCCTGAAAGCGCTCCAAATGTCCACTTCCATATACTAAAAAAAGAGTGTTTCAAACCTGCTCTACCAAAGGGAATGTTCTACTCTGTGACTTGAATGCAAGCATCCCAAAGAAGTTTCTGAGAATGCTTCTGTCTAGATTTTATCTGAAGACAATCCCGTTTCCAACGAAATCCTCAAGTCTAGGCAAATATTCTCTTGCAGATTCCAGAAAAAGAGTGTTTCAAAACTGCTCCTTCAAAACGGTGGTTCAGTTCTCTTAGTTGAGTACACACATCTCAAATAAGTTTCTGAGAATGCTTCTGCCTAGTTGTTACGGGAAGATATTTCCCTTTCCAACATGGGCCTGAAAGCGCTCCAAATGTCCACTTCCAGATACTACAAAAAGAGTGTTTCAAACCTGCTCTACCAAAGGGAATGTTCTACTCTGTGACTTGAATGCAAACATCCCAAAGAAGTTTCTGAGAATGCTTCTGTCTAGATTTTACCTGAAGACAATCCCGTTTCCCACGAAATCCTCAAAGCTATGCAAATATCCTCTTGCAGATTCTACAAAAAGAGTGTTTCAAAACTGCTCTATGAAAAGAAAGGTTCAACTCTGTCAGTAGAGGGCACACATCACAAACAAGTTTCTGAGAATGCTTCTGCATAGTTGTTACGGGAAGATATTTCCCTTTCCAAAATAGGCCTGAAAGCGCTCCAAATGTCCACTTCCAGATACTACAAAAGGAGTGATTCCAACCTGCTCTATGATAGGGAATGTTCAACTCTGTGTCCTGAATACAAACATCACAAAGATGTTTCTCAGAACGCTGCAGTCTGCAATTTGTATGAATTCCCGCTTCCAACGAAATCCTCAAAACTAGCCAAATATCCACTTGCAGATTCCACAAAAAGACCATTTCAAAACTGCTCTATCAAAAGAAAGGTTCAACTTTGTTAGTTGAGTAGATACAGCATAACCAAGTTTCTGAGAATGCTTCTGTCCAGTTTTTATGGGAAGATATTTCCTTTTTCACCTTAGCCCTGAAATCGCTCCAAAAGTCCAGTTCCAGATACTACAAAAGGGGTGTTTCAAGACTGCTCTATGAAAGGGAGTGTTCAACTTTTGACTTGAATGCAAACATCAGAAAGCAGTTTCTCAGAACGCTGCTGTGTGCTTTTTATATGTATTCCCGCTTCCAGCGAAATCCCCAAAGCTAGCCAAATATCCACTTGCAGATTCCAGAAAAAGAGAGTTTCAAAACTGCTCCTTCAAAACGGTGGTTCAATTCTCTTAGTTGAGTACACACATCTCAAATAAGTTTCTGAGAATGCTTGTGTCTAGTTGTTATGGGAAGATATTTCCTTTTTCAACATAGGCCTGAAAGCGCTCCAAATGTCCACTTCCAGATACTACAAAAGGAGTGATTCCAACCTGCTCTATGATAGGGAATGTTCATCTCTGTGTCCTGAATACAAACATCACAAAGATGTTTCTCAGAACGCTGCAGTCTGCAATTTGTATGAATTCCCGCTTCCAACGAAATCCTCAAAACTAGCCAAATATCCACTTGCAGATTCCACAAAAAGAGCGTTTCAAAACTTCTCTATGAAAAGAAAGGTTCTACTCCTTTAGTTGAGGACACACATCACGAGTAAGTTTCTGAGAATGCTTCTGTCTAGTTTTTATGGGAAGATATTTCCTTTTTCACCTTAGGCCGGTAAGTGCTCCAAATGTCCACTTACACACACTACAAAAAGAGTGTTTCAAACCTGCTCTGTGAAAGGGAATGTTCAATTCTGTGACTTGAATGCAATCATCACAAAGAACTTTCTGAGAATGCCGCTGACTGCTTTTTATATGTAATCCCGTTTCCAACGAAATCCTCAAATCTAGCCAAATAGCCACTTGCAGATTCCACAAAAAGAGTGTTTCAAAACTGTTCTGTCTAAAGAAATGTTCAACTGTGTTAGTTGAGGACACACATCAGAAACTAGTTTCTGAGAATGCTTCTGTCTAGTTGTTATGGGAAGATATTTCCTTTTCCAACGTAGGCCTGAAAGCGCTCCAAATGTCCACTTCCAGATACTACAAAAAGAGTGTTTCAAACCTGCTCTACCAAAGGGAATGTTCTACTCTGTGACTTGAATGCAAGCATCCCAAAGAAGTTTCTGAGAATGCTTCTGTCTAGATTTTCTCTGAAGACAATCCCGTTTCCAACGAAATCCTCAAGGCTAGGCAAATATACTCTTGCAGATTCCAGAAAAAGAGTGTTTCAAAACTGCTCCTTCAAAACGGTGGTTCAATTCTCTTAGTTGAGTACACACATCTCAAATAAGTTTCTGAGAATGCTTCTGCCTAGTTGTTACGGGAAGTATATTTCCCTTTCCAACATAGGCCTGAAAGCGCTCCAAATGTCCACTTCCAGATACTATAAAAAGAGTGTTTCAAACCTGCTCTACCAAAGGGAATGTTCTACTCTGTGACTTGAATGCAAACATCCCAAAGAAGTTTCTGAGAATGCTTCTGTCTAGATTTTACCTGAAGACAATCCCGTTTCCCACGAAATCCTCAAAGCTATGCAAATATCCTCTTGCAGATTCTACAAAAAGAGTGTTTCAAAACTGCTCTATGAAAAGAAAGGTTCAACTCTGTCAGTAGAGGGCACACATCACAAACAAGTTTCTGAGAATGCTTCTGCATAGCTGTTACGGGAAGATATTTCCCTTTCCAACATAGGCCTGAAAGCGCTCCAAATGTCCACTTCCAGATACTACAAAAGGAGTGATTCCAACCTGCTCTATGATAGGGAATGTTCAACTCTGTGTCCTGAATACAAACATCACAAAGATGTTTCTCAGAACGCTGCAGTCTGCAATTTGTATGAATTCCCGCTTCCAACGAAATCCTCAAAACTAGCCAAATATCCACTTGCAGATTCCACAAAAAGACCATTTCAAAACTGCTCTATCAAAAGAAAGGTTCAACTTTGTTAGTTGAGTAGATACAGCATAAACAAGTTTCTGAGAATGCTTCTGTCCAGTTTTTATGGGAAGATATTTCCTTTTTCACCTTAGCCCTGAAATCGCTCCAAAAGTCCAGTTCCAGATACTACAAAAGGGGTGTTTCAAGACTGCTCTATGAAAGGGAGTGTTCAACTTTTGACTTGAATGCAAACATCAGAAAGCAGTTTCTCAGAACGCTGCTGTGTGCTTTTTATATGTATTCCCGCTTCCAGCGAAATCCCCAAAGCTAGCCAAATATCCACTTGCAGATTCCAGAAAAAGAGTGTTTCAAAACTGCTCCTTCAAAACGGTGGTTCAATTCTCTTAGTTGAGTACACACATCTCAAATAAGTTTCTGAGAATGCTTCTGTCTATTTGTTATGGGAAGATATTTCCTTTTCCAACATAGGCCTGAAAGCGCTCCAAATGTCCACTTCCAGATACTAGAAAAGGAGTGATTCAAACCTGCTCTATGATAGGGAATGTTCAACTCTGTGTCCTGAATACAAACATCACAAAGATGTTTCTCAGAACGCTGCAGTCTGCAATTTGTATGAATTCCCGCTTCCAACGAAATCCTCAAAACTAGCCAAATATCCACTTGCAGATTCCACAAAAAGAGCGTTTCAAAACTTCCTATGAAAAGAAAGGTTCTACTCCTTTAGTTGAGGACACACATCACGAGTAAGTTTCTGAGAATGCTTCTGTCTAGTTTTTATGGGAAGATATTTCCTTTTTCTCCTGAGGCCGGAAAGCGCTCCAAATGTCCACTTACAGACACTACAAAAGAGTGTTTCAAACCTGCTCTGTGAAAGGGAATGTTCAGTTCTGTGACTTGAATGCAATCACCACAAAGAAGTTTCTGAGAATGCTGCTGACTGCTTTTTATATGTAATCCCGTTTCCAACGAAATCCTCAAATCTAGCCAAATAGCCACTTGCAGATTCCACAAAAAGAGTGTTTCAAAACTGTTCTGTCTAAAGAAATGTTCAACTGTGTTAGTTGAGGACACACATCAGAAACTAGTTTCTGAGAATGCTTCTGTCTAGTTGTTATGGGAAGATATTTCCGTTTCCAACGTAGGCCTGAAAGCGCTCCAAATGTCCACTTCCATATACTAAAAAAAGAGTGTTTCAAACCTGCTCTACCAAAGGGAATGTTCTACTCTGTGACTTGAATGCAAACATCCCAAAGAAGTTTCTGAGAATGCTTCTGTCTAGATTTGATCTGAAGACAATCCCGTTTCCAACGGAATCCTCAAAGCTAGGCAAATATACTCTTGCAGATTCCAGAACAAGAGTGTTTCAAAACTGCTCCTTCACAAGGGTGGTTCAATTCTCTTAGTTGAGTACACACATCTCAAATAAGTTTCTGAGAATGCTTCTGCCTAGTTGTTACGGGAAGATATTTCCCTTTCCAACATAGGCCTGAAAGCGCTCCAAATGTCCACTTCCAGATACTACAAAAAGAGTGTTTCAAACCTGCTCTACCAAAGGGAATGTTCTACTCTGTGACTTGAATGCAAACATCCCAAAGAAGTTTCTGAGAATGCTTCTGTCTAGATTTTACCTGAAGACAATCCCGTTTCCCACGAAATCCTCAAAGCTATGCAAATATCCTCTTGCAGATTCTACAAAAAGAGTGTTTCAAAACTGCTCTATGAAAAGAAAGGTTCAACTCTGTCAGTAGAGGGCACACATCACAAACAAGTTTCTGAGAATGCTTGTGTCTAGTTGTTATGGGAAGATATTTCCTTTTTCAACATAGGCCTGAAAGCGCTCCAAATGTCCACTTCCAGATACTACAAAAGGAGTGATTCCAACCTGCTCTATGATAGGGAATGTTCAACTCTCTGTCCTGAATACAAACATCACAAAGATGTTTCTCAGAACGCTGCAGTCTGCAATTTGTATGTATTCCAGCTTCCAACGAAATCCTCAAATCTAGCCAAATATCCACGTGCAGATTCCACAAAAAGAGCATTTCAAAACTGCTCTATCAAAAGAAAGGTTCAACTTTTTTAGTAGAGTAGATACAGCATAAACAAGTTTCTGAGAATGCTTCTGTCCAGTTTTTATGGGAAGATATTTCCTTTTTCACCTTAGCCCTGAAAGCGCTCCAAAAGTCCAGTTCCAGATACTACAAAAGGAGTGTTTCAGGACTGCTCTATGAAAGGGAGTGTTCAACTTTTGACTTGAATGCAAACATCAGAAAGCAGTTTCTCAGAACGCTGCTGTGTGCTTTTTATATGTATTCCCGCCTCCAGCGAAATCCCCAAAGCTAGCCAAATATCCACTTGCAGATTCCAGAAAAAGAGTGTTTCAAAACTGCTCCTTCAAAACGGTGGTTCAATTCTCTTAGTTGAGTACACACATCTCAAATAAGTTTCTGAAAATGCTTCTGTCTAGTTGTTATGGGAAGATATTTCCTTTTCCAACATAGGCCTGAAAGCGCTCCAAATGTCCACTTCCAGATACTACAAAAGGAGTGATTCCAACCTGCTCTATGATAGGGAATGTTCAACTCTGTGTCCTGAATACAAACATCACAAAGATGTTTCTCAGAACGCTGCAGTCTGCAATTTGTATGAATTCCCGCTTCCAACGAAATCCTCCAAACTAGCCAAATATCCACTTGCAGATTCCACAAAAAGAGCGTTTCAAAACTTCTCTATGAAAAGAAAGGTTCTACTCCTTTAGTTGAGGACACACATCACGAGTAAGTTTCTGAGAATGCTTCTGTCTAGTTTTTAAGGGAAGATATTTCCTTTTTCACCTTAGGCCGGAAAGTGCTCCAAATGTCCACTTACACACACTACAAAAAGAGTGTTTCAAACCTGCTCTGTGAAAGGGAATGTTCAATTCTGTGACTTGAATGCAATCATCACAAAGAACTTTCTGAGAATGCTGCTGTCTGCTTTTTATATGTAATCCCGTTTCCAACGAAATCCTCAAATCTAGCCAAATATCCACTTGCAGATTCCACAAAGAGAGTGTTTCAAAACTGTTCTGTCTAAAGAAATGTTCAACTGTGTTAGTTGAGGACACACATCAGAAACTAGTTTCTGAGAATGCTTCTGTCTAGTTGTTATGGGAAGATATTTCCTTTTCCAACGTAGGCCTGAAAGCGCTCCAAATGTCCACTTCCATATACTAAAAAAAGAGTGTTTAAAACCTGCTCTACCAAAGGGAATGTTCTACTCTGTGACTTGAAAGCAAACATCCCAAAGAAGTTTCTGAGAATGCTTCTGTCTAGATTGGATCTGAAGACAATCCCGTTTCCAACGAAATCCTCAAATCTATGCAAATATCCTCTTGCAGATTCCAGAAAAAGAGTGTTTCAAAACTGCTCCTTCAAAACGGTGGTTCAATTCTCTTAGTTGAGTACACACATCTCAAATAAGTTTCTGAGAATGCTCCTGCCTAGTTGTTACGGGAAGATATTTCCCTTTCCAACATAGGCCTGAAAGCGCTCCAAATGTCCACTTCCAGATACTACAAAAAGAGTGTTTCAAACCTGCTCTACCAAAGGGAATGTTCTACTCTATGACTTGAATGCAAACATCCGAAGAATTTTCTGAGAATGCTTCTGTCTAGATTTTACCTGAAGACAATCCCGTTTCCCACGAAATCCTCAAAGCTATGCAAATATCCTCTTGCAGATTCTACAAAAAGAGTGTTTCAAAACTGCTCTATGAAAAGAAAGGTTCAACTCTGTCAGTAGAGGGCACACATCACAAACAAGTTTCTGAGAATGCTTGTGTCTAGTTGTTATGGGAAGATATTTCCTTTTTCAACGTAGGCCTGAAAGCGCTCCAAATGTCCACTTCCAGATACTACAAAAGGAGTGATTCCAACCTGCTCTATGATAGGGAATGTTCATCTCTGTGTCCTGAATACAAACATCACAAAGATGTTTCTCAGAACGCTGCAGTCTGCAATTTGTATGTATTCCAGCTTCCAACGAAATCCTCAAATCTAGCCAAATATCCACTTGCAGATTCCACAAAAAGAGCATTTCAAAACTGCTCTATCAAAAGAAAGGTTCAACTTTTTTAGTAGAGTAGATACAGCATGAACAAGTTTCTGAGAATGCTTCTGTCCAGTTTTTATGGGAAGATATTTCCTTTTTCACCTTAGCCCTGAAAGCACTCCAAATGTCCACTTCCAGATACCACAAAAGGGGAGTTTCAAGACTGCTCTATGAAAGGGAGTGTTCAACTTTTGACTTGAATGCGAACATCAGAAAGAAGTTTCTCAGAACGCTGCTGTGTGCTTTTTATATGTATTCCCGCTTCCAGCGAAATCCCCAAAGCTAGCCAAATATCCAATTGCAGATTCCAGAAAAAGAGTGTTTCAAAACTGCTCCTTCAAAACGGTGGTTCAATTCTCTTAGTTGAGTACACACATCTCAAATAAGTTTCTGAGAATGCTTCTGTCTATTTGTTATGGGAAGATATTTCCTTTTCCAACATAGGCCTGAAAGCGCTCCAGATGTCCACGTCCAGATACTACAAAAGGAGTGATTCAAACCTGCTCTATGATAGGGAATGTTCAACTCTGTGTCCTGAATACAAACATCACAAAGATGTTTCTCAGAACGCTTGCAGTCTGCAATTTGTATGAATTCCCGCTTCCAACGAAATCCTCAAAACTAGCCAAATATCCACTTGCAGATTCCACAAAAAGAGCGTTTCAAAACTTCTCTATGAAAAGAAAGTTTCTACTCCTTTAGTTGAGTACACACATCACGAGTAAGTTTCTGAGAATGCTTCTGTCTAGGTTTTACGGGAAGATATTTCCTTTTTCACCTTAGGCCGGAAAGGGCTCCAAACGTCCGCTTACACACACTACAAAAAGAGTGTTTCAAACCTGCTCTGTGAAAGGGAATGTTCAATTCTGTGACTTGAATGCAATCATCACAAAGAAGTTTCTGAGAATACTGCTGTCTGCTTTTTATATGTAATCCCGTTTCCAACGAAATCCTCAAATCTAGCCAAATATCCACTTGCAGATTCCACAAAGAGAGTGTTTCAAAACTGTTCTGTCTAAAGAAATGTTCAACTGTGTTAGTTGAGGACACACATCAGAAACTAGTTTCTGAGAATGCTTCTGTCTAGTTGTTATGGGAAGATATTTCCTTTTCCAACGTAGGCCTGAAAGCGCTCCAAATGTCCACTTCCATATACTAAAAAAAGAGTGTTTCAAACCTGCTCTACCAAAGGGAATGTTCTACTCTGTGACTTGAATGCAGACATACCAAAGAAGTTTCTGAGAATGCTTCTGTCTAGATTGGATCTGAAGACAATCCCGTTTCCAACGAAATCCTCAAATCTATGCAAATATCCTCTTGCAGATTCCAGAAAAAGAGTGTTTCAAAACTGCTCCTTCAAAACGGTGGTTCAATTCTCTTAGTTGAGTACACACATCTCAAATAAGTTTCTGAGAATGCTTCTGCCTAGTTGTTACGGGAAGATATTTCCCTTTCCAACATAGGCCTGAAAGCGCTCCAAATGTCCACTTCCAGATACTACAAAAAGAGTGTTTCAAACCTGCTCCTTCAAAACGGTGGTTCAATTCTCTTAGTTCAGTACACACATCTCAAATAAGTTTCTGAGAATG
This sequence comes from Homo sapiens, assembly GCF_000001405.40. Classification (NCBI taxonomy): domain Eukaryota; kingdom Metazoa; phylum Chordata; class Mammalia; order Primates; family Hominidae; genus Homo; species Homo sapiens. The sequence goes on along the minus strand of NC_000018.10, from coordinate 18,563,700 downwards.
CTTCTGTCTAGATTTTACCTGAAGACAATCCCGTTTCCCACGAAATCCTCAAAGCTATGCAAATATCCTCTTGCAGATTCTACAAAAAGAGTGTTTCAAAAGTGCTCTATGAAAAGAAAGGTTCAACTCTGTCAGTAGAGGGCACACATCACAAACAAGTTTCTGAGAATGCTTCTGCATAGTTGTTACGGGAAGATATTTCCCTTTCCAAAATAGGCCTGAAAGCGCTCCAAATGTCCACTTCCAGATACTACAAAAGGAGTGATTCCAACCTGCTCTATGATAGGGAATGTTCAACTCTGTGTCCTGAATACAAACATCACAAAGATGTTTCTCAGAACGCTGCAGTCTGCAATTTGTATGAATTCCCGCTTCCAACGAAATCCTCAAAACTAGCCAAATATCCACTTGCAGATTCCACAAAAAGACCATTTCAAAACTGCTCTATCAAAAGAAAGGTTCAACTTTGTTAGTTGAGTAGATACAGCATAAACAAGTTTCTGAGAATGCTTCTGTCCAGTTTTTATGGGAAGATATTTCCTTTTTCACCTTAGCCCTGAAATCGCTCCAAAAGTCCAGTTCCAGATACTACAAAACGGGTGTTTCAAGACTGCTCTATGAAAGGGAGTGTTCAACTTTTGACTTGAATGCAAACATCAGAAAGCAGTTTCTCAGAACGCTGCTGTGTGCTTTTTATATGTATTCCCGCTTCCAGCGAAATCCCCAAAGCTAGCCAAATATCCACTTGCAGATTCCAGAAAAAGAGAGTTTCAAAACTGCTCCTTCAAAACGGTGGTTCAATTCTCTTAGTTGAGTACACACATCTCAAATAAGTTTCTGAGAATGCTTGTGTCTAGTTGTTATGGGAAGATATTTCCTTTTTCAACATAGGCCTGAAAGCGCTCCAAATGTCCACTTCCAGATACTACAAAAGGAGTGATTCCAACCTGCTCTATGATAGGGAATGTTCATCTCTGTGTCCTGAATACAAACATCACAAAGATGTTTCTCAGAACGCTGCAGTCTGCAATTTGTATGAATTCCCGCTTCCAACGAAATCCTCAAAACTAGCCAAATATCCACTTGCAGATTCCACAAAAAGAGCGTTTCAAAACTTCTCTATGAAAAGAAAGGTTCTACTCCTTTAGTTGAGGACACACATCACGAGTAAGTTTCTGAGAATGCTTCTGTCTAGTTTTTATGGGAAGATATTTCCTTGTTCACCTTAGGCCGGAAAGCGCTCTAAATGTCCACTTACACACACTACAAAAAGAGTGTTTCAAACCTGCTCTGTGAAAGGGAATGTTCAATTCTGTGACTTGAATGCAATCATCACAAAGAAGTTTCTGAGAATGCTGCTGTCTGCTTTTTATATGTAATCCCGTTTCCAACGAAATCCTCAAATCTAGCCAAATATCCACTTGCAGATTCCACAAAAAGAGTGTTTCAAAACTGTTCTGTCTAAAGAAATGTTCAACTGTGTTAGTTGAGGACACACATCAGAAACTAGTTTCTGAGAATGCTTCTGTCTAGTTGTTATGGGAAGATATTTCCTTTTCCAACGTAGGCCTGAAAGCGCTCCAAATGTCCACTTCCATATACTAAAAAAAGAGTGTTTCAAACCTGCTCTACCAAAGGAATGTTCTACTCTGTGACTTGAATGCAAACATCCCAAAGAAGTTTCTGAGAATGCTTCTGTCTAGATTTGATCTGAAGACAATCCCGTTTCCAACGAAATCCTCAAGGCTAGGCAAATATACTCTTGCAGATTCCAGAAAAAGAGGGTTTCAAAACTGCTCCTTCAAAACGGTGGTTCAATTCTCTTAGTTGAGTACACACATCTCAAATAAGTTTCTGAGAATGCTTCTGCCTAGTTGTTACGGGAAGATATTTCCTTTTGCAACATGGGCCAGAAAGCGCTCCAAATGTCCACTTCCAGATACTACAAAAAGAGGGTTTCAAACCTGCTCTACCAAAGGGAATGTTCTACTCTGTGACTTGAATGTAAACATCCCAAAGAAGTTTCTGAGAATGCTTCTGTCTAGATTTTACCTGAAGACAATCCCGTTTCCCACGAAATCCTCAAAGCTATGCAAATATCCTCTTGCAGATTCTACAAAAAGAGTGTTTCAAAACTGCTCTATGAAAAGAAAGGTTCAACTCTGTCAGTAGAGGGCACACATCACAAACAAGTTTCTGAGAATGCTTGTGTCTAGTTGTTATGGGAAGATATTTCCTTTTTCAACATAGGCCTGAAAGCGCTCCAAATGTCCACTTCCAGATACTACAAAAGGAGTGATTCGAACCTGCTCTATGATAGGAAATGTTCCTCTCTGTGTCCTGAATACAAACATCACAAAGATGTTTCTCAGAACGCTTGCAGTCTGCAATTTGTATGAATTCCCGCTTCCAACGAAATCCTCAAAACTAGCCAAATATCCACTTGCAGATTCCACAAAAAGACCATTTCAAAACTGCTCTATCAAAAGAAAGGTTCAACTTTGTTAGTTGAGTAGATACAGCATAACCAAGTTTCTGAGAATGCTTCTGTCCAGTTTTTATGGGAAGATATTTCCTTTTTCACCTTAGCCCTGAAATCGCTCCAAAAGTCCAGTTCCAGATACTACAAAAGGGGTGTTTCAAGACTGCTCTATGAAAGGGAGTGTTCAACTTTTGACTTGAATGCAAACATCAGAAAGCAGTTTCTCAGAACGCTGCTGTGTGCTTTTTATATGTATTCCCGCTTCCAGCGAAATCCCCAAAGCTAGCCAAATATCCACTTGCAGATTCCAGAAAAAGAGAGTTTCAAAACTGCTCCTTCAAAACGGTGGTTCAATTCTCTTAGTTGAGTACACACATCTCAAATAAGTTTCTGAGAATGCTTGTGTCTAGTTGTTATGGGAAGATATTTCCTTTTTCAACATAGGCCTGAAAGCGCTCCAAATGTCCACTTCCAGATACTACAAAAGGAGTGATTCCAACCTGCTCTATGATAGGGAATGTTCATCTCTGTGTCCTGAATACAAACATCACAAAGATGTTTCTCAGAACGCTGCAGTCTGCAATTTGTATGAATTCCCGCTTCCAACGAAATCCTCAAAACTAGCCAAATATCCACTTGGAGATTCCACAAAAAGAGCGTTTCAAAACTTCTCTATGAATAGAAAGGTTCTACTCCTTTAGTTGAGGACACACATCACAAGTAAGTTTCTGAGAATGCTTCTGTCTAGTTTTTATGGGAAGATATTTCCTTTTTCACCTTAGGCCGGAAAGCGCTCCAAATGTCCACTTACACACACTAGAAAAAGAGTGTTTCAAACCTGCTCTGTGAAAGGGAATGTTCAATTCTGTGACTTGAATGCAATCATCACAAAGAACTTTCTGAGAATGCTGCTGACTGCTATTTATATGTAATCCCGTTTCCAACGAAATCCTCAAATCTAGCCCAATATCCACTTGCAGATTCCACAAAAAGAGTGTTTCAAAACTGTTCTGTCTAAAGAAATGTACAACTGTGTTAGTTGAGGACACACATCAGAAACTAGTTTCTGAGAATGCTTCTGTCTAGTTGTTATGGGAAGATATTTCCTTTTCCAACGTAGGCCTGAAAGCGCTCCAAATGTCCACTTCCATATACTAAAAAAAGAGTGTTTCAAACCTGCTCTACCAAAGGGAATGTTCTACTCTGTGACTTGAATGCAAACATCCCAAAGAAGTTTCTGAGAATGCTTCTGTCTAGATTTTATCTGAAGACAATCCCGTTTCCAACGAAATCCTCAAGGCTAGGCAAATATACTCTTGCAGATTCCAGAAAAAGAGGGTTTCAAAACTGCTCCTTCAAAACGGTGGTTCAATTCTCTTAGTTGAGTACACACATCTCAAATAAGTTTCTGAGAATGCTTCTGCCTAGTTGTTACGGGAAGATATTTCCCTTTCCAACATGGGCCTGAAAGCGCTCCAAATGTCCACTTCCAGATACTACAAAAAGAGTGTTTCAAACCTGCTCTACCAAAGGGAATGTTCTACTCTGTGACTTGAATGCAAACATCCCAAAGAAGTTTCTGAGAATGCTTCTGTCTAGATTTTACCTGAAGACAATCCCGTTTCCCACGAAATCCTCAAAGCTATGCAAATATCCTCTTGCAGATTCTACAAAAAGAGTGTTTCAAAACTGCTCTATGAAAAGAAAGGTTCAACTCTGTCAGTAGAGGGCACACATCACAAACAAGTTTCTGAGAATGCTTCTGCATAGCTGTTACGGGAAGATATTTCCCTTTCCAACATAGGCCTGAAAGCGCTCCAAATGTCCACTTCCAGATACTACAAAAGGAGTGATTCCAACCTGCTCTATGATAGGGAATGTTCAACTCTGTGTCCTGAATACAAACATCACAAAGATGTTTCTCAGAACGCTGCAGTCTGCAATTTGTATGAATTCCCGCTTCCAACGAAATCCTCAAAACTAGCCAAATATCCACTTGCAGATTCCACAAAAAGACCATTTCAAAACTGCTCTATCAAAAGAAAGGTTCAACTTTGTTAGTTGAGTAGATACAGCATAAACAAGTTTCTGAGAATGCTTCTGTCCAGTTTTTATGGGAAGATATTTCCTTTTTCACCTTAGCCCTGAAATCGCTCCAAAAGTCCAGTTCCAGATACTACAAAAGGGGTGTTTCAAGACTGCTCTATGAAAGGGAGTGTTCAACTTTTGACTTGAATGCAAACATCAGAAAGCAGCTTCTCAGAACGCTGCTGTGTGCTTTTTATATGTATTCCCGCTTCCAGCGAAATCCCCAAAGCTAGCCAAATATCCACTTGCAGATTCCAGAAAAAGAGTGTTTCAAAACTGCTCCTTCAAAACGGTGGTTCAATTCTCTTAGTTGAGTACACACATCTCAAATAAGTTTCTGAGAATGCTTCTGTCTAGTTGTTATGGGAAGATATTTCCTTTTCCAACATAGGGCCTGAAAGCGCTCCAAATGTCCACTTCCAGATACTACAAAAGGAGTGATTCAAACCTGCTCTATGATAGGGAATGTTCAACTCTGTGTCCTGAATACAAACATCACAAAGATGTTTCTCAGAACGCTGCAGTCTGCATCTTGTATGAATTCCCGCTTCCAACGAAATCCTCCAAACTAGCCAAATATCCACTTGCAGATTCCACAAAAACAGCGTTTCAAAACTTCTCTATGAAAAGAAAGGTTCTACTCCTTTAGTTGAGGACACACATCACGAGTAAGTTTCTGAGAATGCTTCTGTCTAGTTTTTATGGGAAGATATTTCCTTGTTCACCTTAGGCCGGAAAGCGCTCCAAATGTCCACTTACACACACTACAAAAAGAGTGTTTCAAACCTGCTCTGTGAAAGGGAATGTTCAATTCTGTGACTTGAATGCAATCATCACAAAGAAGTTTCTGAGAATGCTGCTGTCTGCTTTTTATATGTAATCCCGTTTCCAACTAAATCCTCAAATCTAGCCAAATAGCCACTTGCAGATTCCACAAAAAGAGTGTTTCAAAACTGTTCTGTCTAAAGAAATGTTCAACTGTGTTAGTTGAGGAAACACATCAGAAACTAGTTTCTGAGAATGCTTCTGTCTAGTTGTTATGGGAAGATATTTCCTTTTCCAACGTAGGCCTGAAAGCGCTCCAAATGTGCACTTCCATATACTAAAAAAAGAGTGTTTCAAACCTGCTCTACCAAAGGGAATGTTCTACTCTGTGACTTGAATGCAAACATCCCAAAGAAGTTTCTGAGAATGCTTCTGTCTAGATTTGATCTAAAGACAATCCCGTTTCCAACGAAATCCTCAAGGCTAGGCAAATATCCTCTTGCAGATTCCAGAAAAAGAGTGTTTCAAAACTGCTCCTTCAAAACGGTGATTCAATTCTCTTAGTTGAGTACACACATCTCAAATAAGTTTCTGAGAATGCTTCTGCCTAGTTGTTACGGGAAGATATTTCCCTTTCCAACATAGGCCTGAAAGCGCTCCAAATGTCCACTTCCAGATAATACAAAAAGAGTGTTTCAAACCTGCTCTACCAAAGGGAATGTTCTACTCTGTGACTTGAATGCAAACATCCCAAAGAAGTTTCTCAGAATGCTTCTGTCTAGATTTTACCTGAAGACAATCCCGTTTCCCACGAAATCCTCAAAGCTATGCAAATATCCTCTTGCAGATTCTACAAAAAGAGCGTTTCAAAACTTCTCTATGAAAAGAAAGGTTCTACTCATTTAGTGGAGGACACACATCACGAGTAAGTTTCTGAGAATGCTTCTGTCTAGTTTTTATAGGAAGATATTTCCTTTTCCACCTTAGGCCGGAAAGTGCTCCAAATGTCCAATTACACACACTAAAAAAGAGTATTTCAAACCTGCTCTGTGAAAGGGAATGTTCAATTCTGTGACTTGAATGCAATCATCACAAAGAACTTTCTGAGAATGCTGCTGACTTCTTTTTATATGTAATCCCGTTTCCAACGAAATCCTCAAATCTAGCCAAATAGCCACTTGCAGATTCCACAAAAAGAGTGTTTCAAAACTGTTCTGTCTAAAGAAATGTGCAACTGTGTTAGTTGAGGACACACATCAGAAACTAGTTTCTGAGAATGCTTCTGTCTAGTTGTTATGGGAAGATATTTCCTTTTCCAACGTAGGCCTGAATGCGCTCCAAATGTCCACTTCCATATACTAAAAAAAGAGTGTTTCAAACCTGCTCTACCAAAGGGAATGTTCTACTCTGTGACTTGAATGCAAACATCCCAAAGAAGTTTCTGAGAATGCTTCTGTATAGATTTGATCTGAAGACAATCCCGTTTCCAACGAAATCCTCAAGGCTAGGCAAATATCCTCTTTCAGATTCCAGAAAAAGAGTGTTTCAAAACTGCTCCTTCAAAACGGTGGTTCAATTCTCTTAGTTGAATACACACATCTCAAATAAGTTTCCTGAGAATGCTTCTGCCTAGTTGTTACGGGAAGATATTTCCCTTTCCAACATAGGCCTGAAAGCGCTCCAAATGTCCACTTCCAGATACTACAAAAAGAGTGTTTCAAACCTACTCTACCAAAGGGAATGTTCTACTCTGTGACTTGAATGCAAACATCCCAAAGAAGTTTCTGAGAATGCTTCTGTCTAGATTTTACCTGAAGACTATCCCGTTTCCCACGTAATCTTCAAAGCTATGCAAATATCCTCTTGCAGATTCTACAAAAAGAGTGTTTCAAAACTGCTCTATGAAAAGAAAGGTTCAACTCTGTCACTAGAGGGCACACATCACAAACAAGTTTCTGAGAATGCTTGTGTCTAGTTGTTATGGGAAGATATTTCCTTTTTCAACATAGGCCTGAAAGCGCTCCAAATGTCCACTTCCAGATACTACAAAAGGAGTGATTCCAACCTGCTCTATGATAGGGAATGTTCAACTCTCTGTCCTGAATACAAACATCACAAAGATGTTTCTCAGAACGCTGCAGTCTGCAATTTGTATGAATTCCCGCTTCCAACGAAATCCTCAAAACTAGCCAAATATCCACTTGCAGATTCCACAAAAAGAGCATTTCAAAACTGCTCTATCAAAAGAAAGGTTCAACTTTGTTAGTTGAGTAGATACAGCATAAACAAGTTTCTGAGAATGCTTCTGTCCAGTTTTTATGGGAAGATATTTCCTTTTTCACCTTAGCCCTGAAAGCGCTCCAAATGTCCAGTTCCAGATACTACAAAAGGGGTGTTTCAAGACTGCTCTATGAAAGGGAGTGTTCAACTTTTGACTTGAATGCAAACATCAGAAAGCAGTTTCTCAGAACGCTGCTGTGTGCTTTTTATATGTATTCCCGCTTCCAGCGAAATCCCCAAAGCTAGCCAAATATCCACTTGCAGATTCCAGAAAAAGAGTGTTTCCAAACTGCTCCTTCAAAACGGTGGTTCAATTCTCTTAGTTGAGTACACACATCTCAAATAAGTTTCTGGGAATGCTTCTGTCTAGTTGTTATGGGAAGATATTTCCTTTTCCAACATAGGCCTGAAAGCGCTCCAAATGTCCACTTCCAGATACTACAAAAGGAGTGATTCAAACCTGCTCTATGATAGGGAATGTTCAACTCTGTGTCCTGAATACAAACATCACAAAGATGTTTCTCAGAACGCTGCAGTCTGCAATTTGTATGAATTCCCGCTTCCAACGAAATCCTCAAAACTAGCCAAATATCCACTTGCAGATTCCACAAAAAGAGCGTTTCAAAACTTCTCTATGAAAAGAAAGGTTCTACTCCTTTAGTTGAGGACACACATCACGAGTAAGTTTCTGAGAATGCTTCTGTCTAGTTTTTATGGGAAGATATTTCCTTTTTCACCTTAGGCCGGTAAGTGCTCCAAATGTCCACTTACACACACTACAAAAAGAGTGTTTCAAACCTGCTCTGTGAAAGGGAATGTTCAATTCTGTGACTTGAATGCAATCATCACAAAGAACTTTCTGAGAATGCTGCTGTCTGCTTTTTATATGTAATCCCGTTTCCAACGAAATCCTCAAATCTAGCCAAATAGCCACTTGCAGATTCCACAAAAAGAGTGTTTCAAAACTGTTCTGTCTAAAGAAATGTTCAACTGTGTTAGTTGAGGACACACATCAGAAACTAGTTTCTGAGAATGCTTCTGTCTAGTTGTTATGGGAAGATATTTCCTTTTCCAACGTAGGCCTGAAAGCGCTCCAAATGTCCACTTCCATATACTTAAAAAAGAGTGTTTCAAACCTGCTCTACCAAAGGGAATGTTCTACTGTGTGACATGAATGCAAACATCCCAAAGAAGTTTCTGAGAATGCTTCTGTCTAGATTTGATCTGAAGACAATCCCGTTTCCAACGAAATCCTCAAGGCTAGGCAAATATCCTCTTGCAGATTCCAGAAAAAGAGTGTTTCAAAACTGCTCCTTCAAAACGGTGGTTCAATTCTCTTAGTTGAGTACACACATCTCAAATAAGTTTCTGAGAATGCTTCTGCCTAGTTGTTACGGGAAGGTATTTCCCTTTCCAACATGGGCCTGAAAGCGCTCCAAATGTCCACTTCCAGATACTACAAAAAGAGTGTTTCAAACCTGCTCTACCAAAGGGAATGTTCTACTCTGTGATTTGAATGCAAACATCCCAAAGAAGTTTCTGAGAATGCTTCTGTCTAGATTTTACCTGAAGACAATCCCGTTTCCCAGGAAATCCTCAAAGCTATGCAAATATCCTCTTGCGGATTCTACAAAAAGAGTGTTTCAAAACTGCTCTATGAAAAGAAAGGTTCAACTCTGTCAGTAGAGGGCACACATCACAAACAAGTTTCTGAGAATGCTTCTGCATAGTTGTTACGGGAAGATATTTCCCTTTCCAAAATAGGCCTGAAAGCGCTCCAAATGTCCACTTCCAGATACTACAAAAGGAGTGATTCCAACCTGCTCTATGATAGGGAATGTTCAACTCTGTGTCCTGAATACAAACATCACAAAGATGTTTCTCAGAACGCTGCAGTCTGCAATTTGTATGAATTCCCGCTTCCAACGAAATCCTCAAAACTAGCCAAATATCCACTTGCAGATTCCACAAAAAGAGCATTTCAAAACTGCTCTATCAAAAGAAAGGTTCAACTTTGTTAGTTGAGTAGATACAGCATAAACAAGTTTCTGAGAATGCTTCTGTCCAGTTTTTATGGGAAGATATTTCCTTTTTCACCTTAGCCCTGAAAGCGCTCCAAAAGTCCAGTTCCAGATACTACAAAGGGAGTGTTTCAGGACTGCACTATGAAAGGGAGTGTTCAACTTTTGACTTGAATGCAAACATCAGAAAGCAGTTTCTCAGAACGCTGCTGTGTGCTTTTTATATGTATTCCCGCTTCCAGCGAAATCCCCAAAGCTAGCCAAATATCCACTTGCAGATTCCAGAAAAAGAGTGTTTCAAAACTGCTCCTTCAAAACGGTGGTTCAATTCTCTTAGTTGAGTACACACATCTCAAATAAGTTTCTGAGAATGCTTCTGTCTAGTTGTTATGGGAAGATATTTCCTTTTCCAACATAGGCCTGAAAGCGCTCCAAATGTCCACTTCCAGATACTACAAAAGGAGTGATTCAAACCTGCTCTATGATAGGGAATGTTCAACTCTGTGTCCTGAATACAAACATCACAAAGATGTTTCTCAGAACGCTGCAGTCTGCAATTTGTATGAATTCCCGCTTCCAATGAAATCCTCCAAACTAGCCAAATATCCACTTGCAGATTCCACAAAAAGAGCGTTTCAAAACTTCTCTATGAAAAGAAAGGTTCTACTCCTTTAGTTGAGGACACACATCACGAGTAAGTTTCTGAGAATGCTTCTGTCTAGTTTTTATGGGAAGATATTTCCTTTTTCACCTTAGTCCGGAAAGTGCTCCAAATGTCCACTTACACACACTACAAAAAGAGTGTTTCAAACCTGCTCTGTTAAAGGGAATGTTCAATTCTGTGACTTGAATGCAATCATCACAAAGAACTTTCTGAGAATGCTGCTGACTGCTTTTTATATGTAATCCCGTTTCCAACGAAATCCTCAAATCTAGCCAGATAGCCACTTGCAGATTCCACAAAAAGAGTGTTTCAAAACTGTTCTGTCTAAGGAAATGTTCAACTGTGTTAGTTGAGGACACACATCAGAAACTAGTTTCTGAGAATGCTTCTGTCTAGTTGTTATGGGAAGATATTTCCTTTTCCAACGTAGGCCTGAAAGCGCTCCAAATGTCCACTTCCATATACTAAAAAAAGAGTGTTTCAAACCTGCTCTACCAAAGGGAATGTTCTACTCTGTGACTTGAATGCAAACATCCCAAAGAAGTTTCTGAGAATGCTTCTGTCTAGATTTTATCTGAAGACAATCCCGTTTCCAACGAAATCCTCAAGGCTAGGCAAATATACTCTTGCAGATTCCAGAAAAAGAGGGTTTCAAAACTGCTCCTTCAAAACGGTGGTTCAATTCTCTTAGTTGAGTCCACACATCTCAAATAAGTTTCTGAGAATGCTTCTGCCTAGTTGTTACGGGAAGATATTTCCCTTTCCAACATGGGCCTGAAAGCGCTCCAAATGTCCACTTCCAGATACTACAAAAAGAGTGTTTCAAACCTGCTCTACCAAAGGGAATGTTCTACTCTGTGACTTGAATGCAAACATCCCAAAGAAGTTTCTGAGAATGCTTCTGTCTAGATTTTACCTGAAGACAATCCCGTTTCCCACGAAATCCTCAAAGCTATGCAAATATCCTCTTGCAGATTCTACAAAAAGAGTGTTTCAAAACTGCTCTATGAAAAGAAAGGTTCAACTCTGTCAGTAGAGGGCACACATCACAAACAAGTTTCTGAGAATGCTTCTGCATAGTTGTTACGGGAAGATATTTCCCTTTCCAAAATAGGCCTGAAAGCGCTCCAAATGTCCACTTCCAGATACTACAAAAGGAGTGATTCCAACCTGCTCTATGATAGGGAATGTTCAACTCTGTGTCCTGAATACAAACATCACAAAGATGTTTCTCAGAACGCTGCAGTCTGCAATTTGTATGAATTCCCGCTTCCAACGAAATCCTCAAAACTAGCCAAATATCCACTTGCAGATTCCACAAAAAGACCATTTCAAAACTGCTCTATCAAAAGAAAGGTTCAACTTTGTTAGTTGAGTAGATACAGCATAAACAAGTTTCTGAGAATGCTTCTGTCCAGTTTTTATGGGAAGATATTTCCTTTTTCACCTTAGCCCTGAAATCGCTCCAAAAGTCCAGTTCCAGATACTACAAAAGGGGTGTTTCAGGACTGCTCTATGAAAGGGAGTGTTCAACTTTTGACTTGAATGCAAACATCAGAAAGCAGTTTCTCAGAACGCTGCTGTGTGCTTTTTATATGTATTCCCGCTTCCAGCGAAATCCCCAAAGCTAGCCAAATATCCACTTGCAGATTCCAGAAAAAGAGAGTTTCAAAACTGCTCCTTCAAAACGGTGGTTCAATTCTCTTAGTTGAGTACACACATCTCAAATAAGTTTCTGAGAATGCTTCTGCCTAGTTGTTATGGGAAGATATTTCCTTTTTCAACATAGGCCTGAAAGCGCTCCAAATGTCCACTTCCAGATACTACAAAAGGAGTGATTCCAACCTGCTCTATGATAGGGAATGTTCAACTCTGTGTCCTGAATACAAACATCACAAAGATGTTTCTCACAACGCTACAGTCTGCAATTTGTATGAATTCCCGCTTCCAAGGAAATCCTCAAACCTAGCCAAATATCCACTTGCAGATTCCACAAAAAGAGCATTTCAAAACTGCTCTATCAAAAGAAAGGTTCAACTTTGTTAGTTGAGTAGATACAGCATAAACAAGTTTCTGAGAATGCTTCTGTCCAGTTTTTATGGGAAGATATTTCCTTTTTCACCTTAGCCCTGAAAGCGCTCCAAATGTCCAGTTCCAGATACTACAAAAGGGGTGTTTCAAGACTGCTCTATGAAAGGGAGTGTTCAACTTTTGACTTGAATGCAAACATCAGAAAGCAGTTTCTCAGAACGCTGCTGTGTGCTTTTTATATGTATTCCCGCTTCCAGCGAAATCCCCAAAGCTAGCCAAATATCCACTTGCAGATTCCAGAAAAAGAGTGTTTCAAAACTGCTCCTTCAAAACGGTGGTTCAATTCTCTTAGTTGAGTACACACATCTCAAATAAGTTTCTGAGAATGCTTGTGTCTAGTTGTTATGGGAAGATATTTCCTTTTTCAACATAGGCCTGAAAGCGCTCCAAATGTCCACTTCCAGATACTACAAAAGGAGTGATTCCAACCTGCTCTATGATAGGGAATGTTCATCTCTGTGTCCTGAATACAAACATCACAAAGATGTTTCTCAGAACGCTGCAGTCTGCAATTTGTATGAATTCCCGCTTCCAACGAAATCCTCAAAACTAGCCAAATATCCACTTGGAGATTCCACAAAAAGAGCGTTTCAAAACTTCTCTATGAATAGAAAGGTTCTACTCCTTTAGTTGAGGACACACATCACGAGTAAGTTTCTGAGAATGCTTCTGTCTAGTTTTTATGGGAAGATATGTCCTTTTTCACCTTAGGCCGGAAAGCGCTCCAAATGTCCACTTACACACACTACAAAAAGAGTGTTTCAAACCTGCTCTGTGAAAGGGAATGTTCAATTCTGTGACTTGAATGCAATCATCACAAAGAACTTTCTGAGAATTCTGCTGTCTGCTTTTTATATGTAATCCCGTTTCCAACGAAATCCTCAAATCTAGCCCAATATCCACTTGCAGATTCCACAAAAAGAGTGTTTCAAAACTGTTCTGTCTAAAGAAATGTACAACTGTGTTAGTTGAGGACACACATCAGAAACTAGTTTCTGAGAATGCTTCTGTCTAGTTGTTATGGGAAGATATTTCGTTTTCCAACGTAGGCCTGAAAGCGCTCCAAATGTCCACTTCCATATACTAAAAAAAGAGTGTTTCAAACCTGCTCTACCAAAGGGAATGTTCTACTCTGCGACTTGAATGCAAACATCCCAAAGAAGTTTCTGAGAATGCTTCTGTCTAGATTTTATCTGAAGACAATCCCGTTTCCAACGAAATCCTCAAGGCTAGGCAAATATACTCTTGCAGATTCCAGAAAAAGAGGGTTTTAAAACTGCTCCTTCAAAACGGTGGTTCAATTCTCTTAGTTGAGTACACACATCTCAAATAAGTTTCTGAGAATGCTTCTGCCTAGTTGTTACGGGAAGATATTTCCCTTTCCAACATGGGCCTGAAAGCGCTCCAAATGTCCACTTCCAGATACTACAAAAAGAGTGTTTCAAACCTGCTCTACCAAAGGGAATGTTCTACTCTGTGACTTGAATGCAAACATCCCAAAGAAGTTTCTGAGAATGCTTCTGTCTAGATTTTACCTGAAGACAATCCCGTTTCCCACGAAATCCTCAAAGCTATGCAAATATCCTCTTGCAGATTCTACAAAAAGAGTGTTTCAAAACTGCTCTATGAAAAGAAAGGTTCAACTCTGTCAGTAGAGGGCACACATCACAAACAAGTTTCTGAGAATGCTTCTGCATAGTTGTTACGGGAAGATATTTCCCTTTCCAAAATAGGCCTGAAAGCGCTCCAAATGTCCACTTCCAGATACTACAAAAGGAGTGATTCCAACCTGCTCTATGATAGGGAATGTTCAACTCTGTGTCCTGAATACAAACATCACAAAGATGTTTCTCAGAACGCTGCAGTCTGCAATTTGTATGAATTCCCGCTTCCAACGAAATCCTCAAAACTAGCCAAATATCCACTTGCAGATTCCACAAAAAGACCATTTCAAAACTGCTCTATCAAAAGAAAGGTTCAACTTTGTTAGTTGAGTAGATACAGCATAAACAAGTTTCTGAGAATGCTTCTGTCCAGTTTTTATGGGAAGATATTTCCTTTTTCACCTTAGCCCTAAAATCGCTCCAAAAGTCCAGTTCCAGATACTACAAAAGGGGTGTTTCAAGACTGCTCTATGAAAGGGAGTGTTCAACTTTTGACTTGAACGCAAACATCAGAAAGCAGTTTCTCAGAACGCTGCTGTGTGCTTTTTATATGTATTCCCGCTTCCAGCGAAATCCCCAAAGCTAGCCAAATATCCACTTGCAGATTCCAGAAAAAGAGTGTTTCAAAACTGCTCCTTCAAAACGGTGGTTCAATTCTCTTAGTTGAGTACACACATCTCAAATAAGTTTCTGAGAATGCTTCTGTCCAGTTTTTATGGGAAGATATTTCCTTTTTCACCTTAGCCCTGAAAGCGCTCCAAATGTCCAGTTCCACATACTACAAAAGGGGTGTTTCAAGACTGCTCTATGAAAGGGAGTGTTCAACTTTTGACTTGAATGCAAACATCAGAAAGCAGTTTCTCAGAACGCTGCAGTCTGCAATTTGTATGAATTCCCGCTTCCAACGAAATCCTCAAAACTAGCCAAATATCCACCTGCAGATTCCACAAAAAGAGCGTTTCAAAACTTCTCTATGAAAAGAAAGGTTCTACTCCTTTAGTTGAGGACACATATCACGAGTAAGTTTCTGAGAATGCTTCTGTCTAGTTTTTATGGGAAGATATTTCCTTTTTCACCTTAGGCCGGTAAGTGCTCCAAATGTCCACTTACACACACTACAAAAAGAGTGTTTCAAACCTGCTCTGTGAAAGGGAATGTTCAATTCTGTGACTTGAATGCAATCATCACAAAGAACTTTCTGAGAATGCTGCTGACTGCTTTTTATATGTAATCCCGTTTCCAACGAAATCCTCAAATCTAGCCAAATAGCCACTTGCAGATTCCACAAAAAGAGTGTTTCAAAACTGTTCTGTCTAAAGAAATGTTCAACTGTGTTAGTTGAGGACACACATCAGAAACTAGTTTCTGAGAATGCTTCTGTCTAGTTGTTATGGGAAGATATTTCCTTTTCCAACGTAGGCCTGAAAGCGCTCCAAATGTCCACTTCCATATACTAAAAAAAGAGTGTTTCAAACCTGCTCTACCAAAGGGAATGTTCTACTCTGTGACTTGAATGCAAACATCCCAAAGAAGTTTCTGAGAATGCTTCTGTCTAGATTTGATCTGAAGACAATCCCGTTTCCAACGAAATCCTCAAGGCTAGGCAAATATCCTCTTGCAGATTCCAGAAAAAGAGTGTTTCAAAACTGCTCCTTCAAAACGGTGGTTCAATTCTCTTAGTTGAGTACACGCATCTCAAATAAGTTTCTGAGAATGCTTCTGCCTAGTTGTTACGGGAAGATATTTCCCTTTCCAACATAGGCCTGAAAGCGCTCCAAATGTCCACTTCCAGATACTACAAAAAGAGTGTTTCAAACCTGCTCTACCAAAGGGAATGTTCTACTCTGTGACTTGAATGCAAACATCCCAAAGAAGTTTCTGAGAATGCTTCTGTCTAGATTTTACCTGAAGACAATCCCGTTTCCCACGAAATCCTCAAAGCTATGCAAATATCCTCTTGCAGATTCTACAAAAAGAGTGTTTCAAAACTGCTCTATGAAAAGAAAGGTTCAACTCTGTCAGTAGAGGGCACACATCACAAACAAGTTTCTGAGAATGCTTGTGTCTAGTTGTTATGGGAAGATATTTCCTTTTTCAACATAGGCCTGAAAGCGCTCCAAATGTCCACTTCCAGATACTACAAAAGGAGTGATTCCAACCTGCTCTATGATAGGGAATGTTCAACTCTCTGTCCTGAATACAAACATCACAAAGATGTTTCTCAGAACGCTGCAGTCTGCAATTTGTATGAATTCCCGCTTCCAACGAAATCCTCAAAACTAGCCAAATATCCACTTGCAGATTCCACAAAAAGAGCATTTCAAAACTGCTCTATCAAAAGAAAGGTTCAACTTTGTTAGTTGAGTAGATACAGCATAAACAAGTTTCTGAGAATGCTTCTGTCCAGTTTTTATGGGAAGATATTTCCTTTTTCACCTTAGCCCTGAAAGCGCTCCAAAAGTCCAGTTCCAGATACTACAAAAGGAGTGTTTCAGGACTGCTCTATGAAAGGGAGTGTTCAACTTTTGACTTGAATGCAAACATCAGAAAGCAGTTTCTCAGAACGCTGCTGTGTGCTTTTTATATGTATTCCCGCTTCCAGCGAAATCCCCAAAGCTAGCCAAATAGCCACTTGCAGATTCCAGAAAAAGAGTGTTTCAAAACTGCTCCTTCAAAACGGTGGTTCAATTCTCTTAGTTGAGTACACACATCTCAAATAAGTTTCTGAGAATGCTTCTGTCTAGTTGTTACGGGAAGATATTTCCTTTTCCAACATAGGCCTGAAAGCGCTCCAAATGTCCACTTCCAGATACTACAAAAGGAGTGATTCAAACCTGCTCTATGATAGGGAATGTTCAACTCTGTGTCCTGAATACAAACATCACAAAGATGTTTCTCAGAACGCTGCAGTCTGCAATTTGTATGAATTCCCGCTTCCAACGAAATCCTCCAAACTAGCCAAATATCCACTTGCAGATTCCACAAAAAGAGCGTTTCAAAACTTCTCTATGAAAAGAAAGGTTCTACTCCTTTAGTTGAGGACACACATCACGAGTAAGTTTCTGAGAATGCTTCTGTCTAGTTTTTATGGGAAGATATTTCCTTTTTCACCTTAGGCCGGAAAGTGCTCCAAATGTCCACTTACACACACTACAAAAAGAGTGTTTCAAACCTGCTCTGTGAAAGGGAATGTTCAATTCTGTGACTTGAATGCAATCATCACAAAGAACTTTCTGAGAATGCTGCTGTCTGCTTTTTATATGTAATCCCGTTTCCAACGAAATCCTCAAATCTAGCCAAATAGCCACTTGCAGATTCCACAAAAAGAGAGTTTCAAAACTGTTCTGTCTAAAGAAATGTTCAACTGTGTTAGTTGAGGACACACATCAGAAACTAGTTTCTGAGAATGCTTCTGTCTAGTTGTTATGGGAAGATATTTCCTTTTCCAACGTAGGCCTGAAAGCGCTCCAAATGTCCACTTCCATATACTAAAAAAAGAGTGTTTCAAACCTGCTCTACCAAAGGGAATGTTCTACTGTGTGACTTGAATGCAAACATCCCAAAGAAGTTTCTGAGAATGCTTCTGTCTAGATTTGATCTGAAGACATTCCCGTTTCCAAAGAAATCCTCAAGGCTAGGCAAATATCCTCTTGCAGATTCCAGAAAAAGAGTGTTTCAAAACTGCTCCTTCAAAACGGTGGTTCAATTCTCTTAGTTGAGTACACACATCTCAAATAAGTTTCTGAGAATGCTTCTGCCTAGTTGTTACGGGAAGATATTTCCCTTTCCAACATAGGCCTGAAAGCGCTCCAAATGTCCACTTCCAGATACTACAAAAAGAGTGTTTCAAACCTGCTCTACCAAAGGGAATGTTCTACTCTGTGACTTGAATGCAAACATCCCAAAGAAGTTTCTGAGAATGCTTCTGTCTAGATTTTACCTGAAGACAATCCCGTTTCCCACGAAATCCTCAAAGCTATGCAAATATCCTCTTGCAGATTCTACAAAAAGAGTGTTTCAAAACTGCTCTATGAAAAGAAAGGTTCAACTCTGTCAGTAGAGGGCACACATCACAAACAAGTTTCTGAGAGTGCTTCTGCATAGTTGTTACGGGAAGATATTTCCCTTTCCAAAATAGGCCTGAAAGCGCTCCAAATGTCCACTTCCAGATACTACAAAAGGAGTGATTCCAACCTGCTCTATGATAGGGAATGTTCAACTCTGTGTCCTGAATACAAACATCACAAAGATGTTTCTCAGAACGCTGCAGTCTGCAATTTGTATGAATTCCCGCTTCCAACGAAATCCTCAAAACTAGCCAAATATCCACTTGCAGATTCCACAAAAAGAGCATTTCAAAACTGCTCTATCAAAAGAAAGGTTCAACTTTGTTAGTTGAGTAGATACAGCATAAACAAGTTTCTGAGAATGCTTCTGTCCAGTTTTTATGGGAAGATATTTTCTTTTTCACCTTAGCCCTGAAAGCGCCCGAAATGTCCAGTTCCAGATACTACAAAAGGAGTGTTTCAAGACTGCTCTATGAAAGGGAGTGTTCAAATTTGACTTGAATGCAAACATCAGAAAGCAGTTTCTCAGAACGCTGCTGTGTGCTTTTTATATGTATTCCCGCTTCCAGCGAAATCCCCAAAGCTAGCCAAATATCCACTTGCAGATTCCAGAAAAAGAGTGTTTCAAAACTGCACCTTCAAAACGGTGGTTCAATTCTCTTAGTTGAGTACACACATCTCAAATAACTTTCCGAGAATGCTTCTGTCTAGTTGTTATGGGAAGATATTTCCTTTTCCAACATAGGCCTGAAAGCGCTCCAAATGTCCACTTCCAGATACTACAAAAGGAGTGATTCAAACCTGCTCTATGATAGGGAATGTTCAACTCTGTGTCCTGAATACAAACATCACAAAGATGTTTCTCAGAACGCTTGCAGTCTGCAATTTGTATGAATTCCCGCTTCCAACGAAATCCTCAAAACTAGCCAAATATCCACTTGCAGATTCCACAAAAAGAGCGTTTCAAAACTTCTCTATGAAAAGAAAGGTTCTACTCCGTTAGTTGAGGACACACATCACGAGTAAGTTTCTGAGAATGCTTCTGTCTAGTTTTTATGGGAAGATATTTCCTTTTTCACCTTAGGCCGGTAAGTGCTCCAAATGTCCACTTACACACACTACAAAAAGAGTGTTTCAAACCTGCTCTGTGAAAGGGAATGTTCAATTCTGTGACTTGAATGCAATCATCACAAAGAACTTTCTGAGAATGCTGCTGTCTGCTTTTTATATGTAATCCCGTTTCCAACGAAATCCTCAAATCTAGCCCAATATCCACTTGCAGATTCCACAAAAAGAGTGTTTCAAAACTGTTCTGTATAAAGAAAAGTTCAACTGTGTTAGTTGAGGACACACATCAGAAACTAGTTTCTGAGAATGCTTCTGTCTAGTTGTTATGGGAAGAATATTTCCTTTTCCAACGTAGGCCTGAAAGCTCTCCAAATGTCCACTTACACACACTACAAAAAGAGTGTTTCAAACCTGCTCTACCAAAGGGAATGTTCTACTCTGTGACTTGAATGCAAACATCCCAAAGAAGTTTCTGAGAATGCTTCTGTCTAGATTTTCTCTGAAGACAATCCCGTTTCCAACGAAATCCTCAAGGCTAGGCAAATATACTCTTGCAGATTCCAGAAAAAGAGTGTTTCAAAACTGCTCCTTCAAAACGGTGGTTCAATTCTCTTAGGTTGAGTACACACATCTCAAATAAGTTTCTGAGAATGCTTCTGCCTAGTTGTTACGGGAAGCATATTTCCCTTTCCAACATGGGCCTGAAAGCGCTCCAAATGTCCACTTCCAGATACTACAAAAAGAGTGTTTCAAACCTACTCTACCAAAGGGAATGTTCTACTCTGTGACTTGAATGCAAACATCCCAAAGAAGTTTCTGAGAATGCTTCTGTCTAGATTTTACCTGAAGACAATCCCGTTTCCCACGAAATCCTCAAAGCTATGCAAATATCCTCTTGCAGATTCTACAAAAAGAGTGTTTCAAAACTGCTCTATGAAAAGAAAGGTTCAACTCTGTCAGTAGAGGGCACACATCACAAACAAGTTTCTGAGAATGCTTCTGCATAGTTGTTACGGGAAGATATTTCCCTTTCCAAAATAGGCCTGAAAGCGCTCCAAATGTCCACTTCCAGATACTACAAAAGGAGTGATTCCAACCTGCTCTATGATAGGGAATGTTCAACTCTGTGTCCTGAATACAAACATCACAAAGATGTTTCTCAGAACGCTGCAGTCTGCAATTTGTATGAATTCCCGCTTCCAACGAAATCCTCAAAACTAGCCAAATATCCACTTGCAGATTCCACAAAAAGACCATTTCAAAACTGCTCTATCAAAAGAAAGGTTCAACTTTGTTAGTTGAGTAGATACAGCATAAACAAGTTTCTGAGAATGCTTCTGTCCAGTTTTTATGGGAAGATATTTCCTTTTTCACCTTAGCCCTGAAATCGCTCCAAAAGTCCAGTTCCAGATACTACAAAAGGGGTGTTTCAAGACTGCTCTATGAAAGGGAGTGTTCAACTTTTGACTTGAATGCAAACATCAGAAAGCAGTTTCTCAGAACGCTGCTGTGTGCTTTTTATATGTATTCCCGCTTCCAGCGAAATCCCCAAAGCTAGGCAAATATCCACTTGCAGATTCCAGAAAAAGAGTGTTTCAAAACTGCTCCTTCAAAACGGTGGTTCAATTCTCTTAGTTGAGTACACACATCTCAAATAAGTTTCTGAGAATGCTTCTGTCTAGTTGTTATGGGAAGATATTTCCTTTTCCAACATAGGCCTGAAAGCGCTCCAAATGTCCACTTCCAGATACTACAAAAGGAGTGATTCAAACCTGCTCTATGATAGGGAATGTTCAACTCTGTGTCCTGAATACAAACATCACAAAGATGTTTCTCAGAACGCTGCAGTCTGCAATTTGTATGAATTCCCGCTTCCAACGAAATCCTCAAAACTAGCCAAATATCCACTTGGAGATTCCACAAAAAGAGCGTTTCAAAACTTCTCTATGAATAGAAAGGTTCTACTCCTTTAGTTGAGGACACACATCACGAGTAAGTTTCTGAGGATGCTTCTGTCTAGTTTTTATGGGAAGATATTTCCTTTTTCACCTTAGGCCTGAAAGCGCTCCAAATGTCCACTTACACACACTACAAAAAGAGTGTTTCAAACCTGCTCTGTGAAAGGGAATGTTCAATTCTGTGACTTGAATGCAATCATCACAAAGAACTTTCTGAGAATGCTGCTGACTGCTTTTTATATGTAATCCCGTTTCCAACGAAATCCTCAAATCTAGCCAAATAGCCACTTGCAGATTCCACAAAAAGAGTGTTTCAAAACTGTTCTGTCTAAAGAAATGTACAACTGTGTTAGTTGAGGACACACATCAGAAACTAGTTTCTGAGAATGCTTCTGTCTAGTTGTTATGGGAAGATATTTCCTTTTCCAACGTAGGCCTGAAAGCGCTCCAAATGTCCACTTCCATATACTAAAAAAAGAGTGTTTCAAACCTGCTCTACCAAAGGGAATGTTCTACTCTGTGACTTGAATGCAAACATCCCAAAGAAGTTTCTGAGAATGCTTCTGTCTAGCATTTTATCTGAAGACAATCCCGTTTCCAACGAAATCCTCAAGGCTAGGCAAATATACTCTTGCAGATTCCAGAAAAAGAGTGTTTCAAAACTGCTCCTTCAAAACGGTGGTTCAATTCTCTTAGTTGAGTACACACATCTCAAATAAGTTTCTGAGAATGCTTCTGCCTAGTTGTTACGGGAAGATATTTCCCTTTCCAACATGGGCCTGAAAGCGCTCCAAATGTCCACTTCCAGATACTACAAAAAGAGTGTTTCAAACCTGCTCTACCAAAGGGAATGTTCTACTCTGTGACTTGAATGCAAACATCCCAAAGAAGTTTCTGAGAATGCTTCTGTCTAGATTTTACCTGAAGACAATCCCGTTTCCCACGAAATCCTCAAAGCTATGCAAATATCCTCTTGCAGATTCTACAAAAAGAGTGTTTCAAAACTGCTCTATGAAAAGAAAGGTTCAACTCTGTCAGTAGAGGGCACACATCACAAACAAGTTTCTGAGAATGCTTCTGCATAGTTGTTACGGGAAGATATTTCCCTTTCCAAAATAGGCCTGAAAGCGCTCCAAATGTCCACTTCCAGATACTACAAAAGGAGTGATTCCAACCTGCTCTATGATAGGGAATGTTCAACTCTGTGTCCTGAATACAAACATCACAAAGATGTTTCTCAGAACGCTGCAGTCTGCAATTTGTATGAATTCCCGCTTCCAACGAAATCCTCAAAACTAGCCAAATATCCACTTGCAGATTCCACAAAAAGACCATTTCAAAACTGCTCTATCAAAAGAAAGGTTCAACTTTGTTAGTTGAGTAGATACAGCATAAACAAGTTTCTGAGAATGCTTCTGTCCAGTTTTTATGGGAAGATATTTCCTTTTTCACCTTAGCCCTGAAAGCGCTCCAAAAGTCCAGTTCCAGATACTGCAAAAGGAGTGTTTCAGACTGCACTATGAAAGGGAGTGTTCAACTTTTGACTTGAATGCAAACATCAGAAAGCAGTTTCTCAGAACGCTGCTGTGTGCTTTTTATATGTATTCCCGCTTCCAGCGAAATCCCCAAAGCTAGCCAAATATCCACTTGCAGATTCCAGAAAAAGAGTGTTTCAAAACTGCTCCTTCAAAACGGTGGTTCAATTCTCTTAGTTGAGTACACACATCTCAAATAAGTTTCTGAGAATGCTTCTGTCTAGTTGTTATGGGAAGATATTTCCTTTTCCAACATAGGCCTGAAAGCGCTCCAAATGTCCACTTCCAGATACTACAAAAGGAGTGATTCCAACCTGCTCTATGATAGGGAATGTTCAACTCTGTGTCCTGAATACAAACATCACAAAGATGTTTCTCAGAACGCTGCAGTCTGCAATTTGTATGAATTCCCGCTTCCAACGAAATCCTCCAAACTAGCCAAATATCCACTTGCAGATTCCACAAAAAGAGCGTTTCAAAACTTCTCTATGAAAAGAAAGGTTCTACTCCTTTAGTTGAGGACACACATCACGAGTAAGTTTCTGAGAATGCTTCTGTCTAGTTTTTAAGGGAAGATATTTCCTTTTTCACCTTAGGCCGGAAAGTGCTCCAAATGTCCACTTACACACACTACAAAAAGAGTGTTTCAAACCTGCTCTGTGAAAGGGAATGTTCAATTCTGTGACTTGAATGCAATCATCACAAAGAACTTTCTGAGAATGCTGCTGTCTGCTTTTTATATGTAATCCCGTTTCCAACGAAATCCTCAAATCTAGCCAAATAGCCACTTGCAGATTCCACAAAAAGAGTGTTTCAAAACTGTTCTGTCTAAAGAAATGTTCAACTGTGTTAGTTGAGGACACACATCAGAAACTAGTTTCTGAGAATGCTTCTGTCTAGTTGTTATGGGAAGATATTTCCTTTTCCAACGTAGGCCTGAAAGCGCTCCAAATGTCCACTTCCAGATACTAAAAAAAGAGTGTTTCAAACCTGCTCTACCAAAGAGAATGTTCTACTCTGTGACTTGAATGCAAACATCCCAAAGAAGTTTCTGAGAATGCTTCTGTCTAGATTTTCTCTGAAGACAATCCCGTTTCCAACGAAATCCTCAAGGCTAGGCAAATATACTCTTGCAGATTCCAGAAAAAGAGTGTTTCAAAACTGCTCCTTCAAAACGGTGGTTCAATTCTCTTAGTTGAGTACACACATCTCAAATAAGTTTCTGAGAATGCTTCTGCCTAGTTGTTACGGGAAGATATTTCCCTTTCCAACATGGGCCTGAAAGCGCTCCAAATGTCCACTTCCAGATACTACAAAAAGAGGGTTTCAAACCTGCTCTACCAAAGGGAATGTTCTACTCTGTGACTTGAATGCAAACATCCCAAAGAAGTTTCTGAGAATGCTTCTGTCTAGATTTTACCTGAAGACAATCCCGTTTCCCACGAAATCCTCAAAGCTATGCAAATATCCTCTTGCAGATTCTACAAAAAGAGTGTTTCAAAACTGCTCTATGAAAAGAAAGGTTCAACTCTGTCAGTAGAGGGCACACATCACAAACAAGTTTCTGAGAACGCTTGTGTCTAGTTGTTATGGGAAGATATTTCCTTTTTCAACATAGGCCTGAAAGCGCTCCAAATGTCCACTTCCAGATACTACAAAAGGAGTGATTCCAACATGCTCTATGATAGGGAATGTTCATCTCTGTGTCTTGAATACAAACATCACAAAGATGTTTCTCAGAACGCTGCAGTCTGCAATTTGTATGAATTCCCGCTTCCAACGAAATCCTCAAAACTAGCCAAATATCCACTTGCAGATTCCACAAAAAGAGCATTTCAAAACTGCTCTATCAAAAGAAAGGTTCAACTTTGTTAGTTGAGTAGATACAGCATAAACAAGTTTCTGAGAATGCTTCTGTCCAGTTTTTATGGGAAGATATTTCCTTTTTCACCTTAGCCCTGAAAGCGCTCCAAAAGTCCAGTTCCAGATACTACAAAAGGAGTGTTTCAGGACTGCACTATGAAAGGGAGTGTTCAACTTTTGACTTGAATGCAAACATCAGAAAGCAGTTTCTCAGAACGCTGCTGTGTGCTTTTTATATGTATTCCCGCTTCCAGCGAAATCCCCAAAGCTAGCCAAATATCCACTTGCAGATTCCAGAAAAAGAGTGTTTCAAAACTGCTCCTTCAAAACGGTGGTTCAATTCTCTTAGTTGAGTACACACATCTCAAATAAGTTTCTGAGAATGCTTCTGTCTAGTTGTTATGGGAAGATATTTCCTTTTCCAACATAGGCCTGAAAGCGCTCCAAATGTCCACTTCCAGATACTACAAAAGGAGTGATTCCAACCTGCTCTATGATAGGGAATGTTCAACTCTGTGTCCTGAATACAAACATCACAAAGATGTTTCTCAGAACGCTGCAGTCTGCAATTTGTATGAATTCCCGCTTCCAACGAAATCCTCCAAACTAGCCAAATATCCACTTGCAGATTCCACAAAAAGAGCGTTTCAAAACTTCTCTATGAAAAGAAAGGTTCTACTCCTTTAGTTGAGGACACACATCACGAGTAAGTTTCTGAGAATGCTTCTGTCTAGTTTTTATGGGAAGATATGTCCTTTTTCACCTTAGGCCGGAAAGCGCTCCAAAGGTCCACTTACACACACTACAAAAAGAGTGTTTCAAACCTGCTCTGTGAAAGGGAATGTTCAATTTTGTGACTTGAATGCAATCATCACAAAGAAGTTTCTGAGAATGCTGCTGTCTGCTTTTTATATGTAATCCCGTTTCCAACGAAATCCTCAAATCTAGCCAAATATCCACTTGCAGATTCCACAAAGAGAGTGTTTCAAAACTGTTCTGTCTAAAGAAATGTTCAACTGTGTTAGTTGAGGACACACATCAGAAACTAGTTTCTGAGAATGCTTCTGTCTAGTTGTTATGGGAAGATATTTCCTTTTCCAACGTAGGCCTGAAAGCGCTCCAAATGTCCACTTCCATATACTAAAAAAAGAGTGTTTCAAACCTGCTCTACCAAAGGGAATGTTCTACTCTGTGACTTGAATGCAAACATCCCAAAGAAGTTTCTGAGAATGCTTCTGTCTAGATTTTATCTGAAGACAATCCCGTTTCCAACGAAATCTTCAAGGCTAGGCAAATATACTCTTGCAGATTCCAGAAAAAGAGTGTTTCAAATCTGCTCCTTCAAAACGGTGGTTCAATTCTCTTAGTTGAGTACACACATCTCAAATAAGTTTCTGAGAATGCTTCTGCCTAGTTGTTACGGGAAGATATTTCCCTTTCCAACATAGGCCTGAAAGCGCTCCAAATGTCCACTTCCAGATACTACAAAAAGTGTGTTTCAAACCTACTCTACCAAAGGGAATGTTCTACTCTGTGACTTGAATGCAAACATCCCAAAGAAGTTTCTGAGAATGCTTCTGTCTAGATTTTACCTGAAGACAATCCCGTTTCCCACGTAATCCTCAAAGCTATGCAAATATCCTCTTGCAGATTCTACAAAAAGAGTGTTTCAAAACTGCTCTATGAAAAGAAAGGTTCAACTCTGTCAGTAGAGGGCACACATCACAAACAAGTTTCTGAGAATGCTTGTGTCTAGTTGTTATGGGAAGATATTTCCTTTTTCAACATAGGCCTGAAAGCGCTCCAAATGTCCACTTCCAGATACTACAAAAGGAGTGATTCCAACCTGCTCTATGATAGGGAATGTTCAACTCTCTGTCCTGAATACAAACATCACAAAGATGTTTCTCAGAACGCTGCAGTCTGCAATTTGTATGAATTCCCGCTTCCAACGAAATCCTAAAAACTAGCCAAATATCCACTTGCAGATTCCACAAAAAGACCATTTCAAAACTGCTCTATCAAAAGAAAGGTTCAACTTTGTTAGTTGAGTAGATACAGCATAAACAAGTTTCTGAGAATGCTTCTGTCCAGTTTTTATGGGAAGATATTTCCTTTTTCACCTTAGCCCTGAAATCGCTCCAAAAGTCCAGTTCCAGATACTACAAAAGGGGTGTTTCAAGACTGCTCTATGAAAGGGAGTGTTCAACTTTTGACTTGAATGCAAACATCAGAAAGCAGTTTCTCAGAACGCTGCTGTGTGCTTTTTATATGTATTCCCGCTTCCAGCGAAATCCCCAAAGCTAGCCAAATATCCACTTGCAGATTCCAGAAAAAGAGTGTTTCAAAACTGCTCCTTCAAAACGGTGGTTCAATTCTCTTAGTTGAGTACACACATCTCAAATAAGTTTCTGAGAATGCTTCTGTCTAGTTGTTATGGGAAGATATTTCCTTTTCCAACATAGGCCTGAAAGCGCTCCAAATGTCCACTTCCAGATACTACAAAAGGAGTGATTCCAACCTGCTCTATGATAGGGAATGTTCAACTCTGTGTCCTGAATACAAACATCACAAAGATGTTTCTCAGAACGCTGCAGTCTGCAATTTGTATGTATTCCAGCTTCCAACGAAATCCTCAAATCTAGCCAAATATCCACTTGCAGATTCCACAAAAAGAGCATTTCAAAACTGCTCTATCAAAAGAAAGGTTCAACTTTTTTAGTAGAGTAGATACAGCATAAACAAGTTTCTGAGAATGCTTCTGTCCAGTTTTTATGGGAAGATATTTCCTTTTTCACCTTAGCCCTGAAAGCGCTCCAAAAGTCCAGTTCCAGATACTACAAAAGGAGTGTTTCAGGACTGCTCTATGAAAGGGAGTGTTCAACTTTTGACTTGAATGCAAACATCAGAAAGCAGTTTCTCAGAACGCTGCTGTGTGCTTTTTATATGTATTCCCGCTTCCAGCGAAATCCCCAAAGCTAGCCAAATATCCACTTGCAGATTCCAGAAAAAGAGTGTTTCAAAACTGCTCCTTCAAAACGGTGGTTCAATTCTCTTAGTTGAGTACACACATCTCAAATAAGTTTCTGAGAATGCTTCTGTCTAGTTGTTATGGGAAGATATTTCCTTTTCCAACATAGGCCTGAAAGCGCTCCAAATGTCCACTTCCAGATACTACAAAAGGAGTGATTCAAACCTGCTCTATGATAGGGAATGTTCAACTCTGTGTCCTGAATACAAACATCACAAAGATGTTTCTCAGAACGCTGCAGTCTGCAATTTGTATGAATTCCCGCTTCCAACGAAATCCTCAAAACTAGCCAAATATCCACTTGGAGATTCCACAAAAAGAGCGTTTCAAAACTTCTCTATGAATAGAGAGGTTCTACTCCTTTAGTTGAAGACACACATCACGAGTAAGTTTCTGAGAATGCTTCTGTCTAGTTTTTATGGGAAGATATGTCCTTTTTCACCTTAGGCCGGAAAGCGCTCCAAATGTCCACTTACACACACTACAAAAAGAGTGTTTCAAACCTGCTCTGTGAAAGGGAATGTTCAATTCTGTGACTTGAATGCAATCATCACAAAGAACTTTCTGAGAATGCTGCTGACTGCTTTTTATATGTAATCCCGTTTCCAACGAAATCCTCAAATCTAGCCCAATATCCACTTGCAGATTCCACAAAAAGAGTGTTTCAAAACTGTTCTGTCTAAAGAAATGTACAACTGTGTTAGTTGAGGACACACATCAGAAACTAGTTTCTGAGAATGCTTCTGTCTAGTTGTTATGGGAAGATATTTCCTTTTCCAAAGTAGGCCTGAAAGCGCTCCAAATGTCCACTTCCATATACTAAAAAAAGAGTGTTTCAAACCTGCTCTACCAAAGGGAATGTTCTACTCTGTGACTTGAATGCAAACATCCCAAAGAAGTTTCTGAGAATGCTTCTGTCTAGATTTTATCTGAAGACAATCCCGTTTCCAACGAAATCCTCAAGGCTAGGCAAATATACTCTTGCAGATTCCAGAAAAAGAGGGTTTCAAAACTGCTCCTTCAAAACGGTGGTTCAATTCTCTTAGTTGAGTACACACATCTCAAATAAGTTTCTGAGAATGCTTCTGCCTCGTTGTTACGGGAAGATATTTCCCTTTCCAACATGGGCCTGAAAGCGCTCCAAATGTCCACTTCCAGATACTACAAAAAGAGGGTTTCAAACCTGCTCTACCAAAGGGAATGTTCTACTCTGTGACTTGAATGCAAACATCCCAAAGAAGTTTCTGAGAATGCTTCTGTCTAGATTTTACCTGAAGACAATCCCGTTTCCCACGAAATCCTCAAAGCTATGCAAATATCCTCTTGCAGATTCTACAAAAAGAGTGTTTCAAAACTGCTCTATGAAAAGAAAGGTTCAACTCTGTCAGTAGAGGGCACACATCACAAACAAGTTTCTGAGAATGCTTCTGCATAGTTGTTACGGGAAGATATTTCCCTTTCCAAAATAGACCTGAAAGCGCTCCAAATGTCCACTTCCAGATACTACAAAAGGAGTGATTCCAACCTGCTCTATGATAGGGAATGTTCAACTCTGTGTCCTGAATACAAACATCACAAAGATGTTTCTCAGAACGCTGCAGTCTGCAATTTGTATGAATTCCCGCTTCCAACGAAATCCTCAAAACTAGCCAAATATCCACTTGCAGATTCCACAAAAAGAGCGTTTCAAAACTTCTCTATGAAAAGAAAGGTTCCACTCCTTTAGTTGAGGACACACATCACGAGTAAGTTTCTGAGAATGCTTCTGTCTAGTTTTTATGGGAAGATATTTCCTTTTTCACCTTAGGCCGGTAAGGGTTCCAAATGTCCACTTACACACACTACAAAAAGCGTGTTTCAAACCTGCTCTGTGAAAGGGAATGTTCAATTCTGTGACTTGAATGCAATCATCACAAAGAACTTTCTGAGAATGCTGCTGACTGCTTTTTATATGTAATCCCGTTTCCAACGAAATCCTCAAATCTAGCCAAATAGCCACTTGCAGATTCCACAAAAAGAGTGTTTCAAAACTGTTCTGTCTATAGAAATGTTCAACTGTGTTAGTTGAGGGCACACATCAGAAACTAGTTTCTGAGAATGCTTCTGTCTAGTTGTTATGGGAAGATATTTCCTTTTCCAACGTAGGCCTGAAAGCGATCAAAATGTCCACTTCCATATACTAAAAAAAGAGTGTTTCAAACCTGCTCTACCAAAGGGAATGTTCTACTCTGTGACTTGAATGCAAACATCCCAAAGAAGTTTCTGAGAATGCTTCTGTCTAGATTTTATCTGAAGACAATCCCGTTTCCAACGAAATCCTCAAGGCTAGGCAAATATACTCTTTCAGATTCCAGAAAAAGAGGGTTTCAAAACTGCTCCTTCAAAACGGTGGTTCAATTCTCTTAGTTGAGTACACACATCTCAAATAAGTTTCTGAGAATGCTTCTGCCTAGTTGTTACGGGAAGATATTTCCCTTTCCAACATGGGCCTGAAGCGCTCCAAATGTCCACTTCCAGATACTACAAAAAGAGTGTTTCAAACCTGCTCTACCAAAGGGAATGTTCTACTCTGTGACTTGAATGCAAACATCCCAAAGAAGTTTCTGAGAATGCTTCTGTCTAGATTTTACCTGAAGACAATCCCGTTTCCCACGAAATCCTCAAAGCTATGCAAATATCCTCTTGCAGATTCTACAAAAAGAGTGTTTCAAAACTGCTCTATGAAAAGAAAGGTTCAACTCTGTCAGTAGAGGGCACACATCACAAACAAGTTTCTGAGAATGCTTCTGCATAGTTGTTACGGGAAGATATTTCCCTTTCCAAAATAGGCCTGAAAGCGCTCCAAATGTCCACTTCCAGATACTACAAAAGGAGTGATTCCAACCTGCCCTATGATAGGGAATGTTCAACTCTGTGTCCTGAATACAAACATCACAAAGATGTTTCTCAGAACGCTGCAGTCTGCAATTTGTATGAATTCCCGCTTCCAACGAAATCCTCAAAACTAGCCAAATATCCACTTGCAGATTCCACAAAAAGACCATTTCAAAACTGCTCTATCAAAAGAAAGGTTCAACTTTGTTAGTTGAGTAGATACAGCATAAACAAGTTTCTGAGAATGCTTCTGTCCAGTTTTTATGGGAAGATATTTCCTTTTTCACCTTAGCCCTGAAAGCGCTCCAAAAGTCCAGTTCCAGATACTACAAAAGGAGTGTTTCAGGACTGCTCTATGAAAGGGAGTGTTCAACTTTTGACTTGAATGCAAACATCAGAAAGCAGTTTCTCAGAACGCTGCTGTGTGCTTTTTATATGTATTCCCGCTTCCAGCGAAATCCCCAAAGCTAGCCAAATATCCACTTGCAGATTCCAGAAAAAGAGTGTTTCAAAACTGCTCCTTCAAAACGGTGGTTCAATTCTCTTAGTTGAGTACACACATCTCAAATAAGTTTCTGAGAATGCTTGTGTCTAGTTGTTATGGGAAGATATTTCCTTTTTCAACATAGGCCTGAAAGCGCTCCAAATGTCCACTTCCAGATACTACAAAAGGAGTGATTCCAACCTGCTCTATGATAGGGAATGTTCATCTCTGTGTCCTGAATACAAACATCACAAAGATGTTTCTCAGAACGCTGCAGTCTGCAATTTGTATGAATTCCCGCTTCCAACGAAATCCTCAAAACTAGCCAAATATCCACTTGCAGATTCCACAAAAAGAGCGTTTCAAAACTTCTCTATGAAAAGAAAGGTTCTACTCCTTTAGTTGAGGACACACATCACGAGTAAGTTTCTGAGAATGCTTCTGTCTAGTTTTTATGGGAAGATATTTCCTTTTTCACCTTAGGCCGGAAAGTGCTCCAAATGTCCACTTACACACACTACAAAAAGAGTGTTTGAAACCTGCTCTGTGAAAGGGAATGTTCAATTCTGTGACTTGAATGCAATCATCACAAAGAACTTTCTGAGAATGCTGCTGTCTGCTTTTTATATGTAATCCCGTTTCCAACGAAATCCTCAAATCTAGCCAAATAGCCACTTGCAGATTCCACAAAAAGAGTGTTTCAAAACTGTTCTGTCTAAAGAAATGTTCAACTGTGTTAGTTGAGGACACACATCAGAAACTAGTTTCTGAGAATGCTTCTGTCTAGTTGTTATGGGAAGATATTTCCTTTTCCAACGTAGGCCTGAAAGCGCTCCAAATGTCCACTTCCATATACTAAAAAAAGAGTGTTTCAAACCTGCTCTACCAAAGGGAATGTTCTACTCTGTGACTTGAATGCAAACATCCCAAAGAAGTTTCTGAGAATGCTTCTGTCTAGATTTTCTCTGAAGACAATCCCGTTTCCAACGAAATCCTCAAGGCTAGGCAAATATACTCTTGCAGATTCCAGAAAAAGAGTGTTTCAAAACTGCTCCTTCAAAACGGTGGTTCAATTCTCTTAGTTGAGTACACACATCTCAAATAAGTTTCTGAGAATGCTTCTGCCTAGTTGTTACGGGAAGATATTTCCCTTTCCAACATAGGCCTGAAAGCGCTCCAAATGTCCACTTCCAGATACTACAAAAAGAGTGTTTCAAACCTGCTCTACCAAAGGGAATGTTCTACTCTGTGACTTGAATGCAAACATCCCAAAGAAGTTTCTGAGAATGCTTCTGTCTAGATTTTACCTGAAGACAATCCCGTTTCCCACGAAATCCTCAAAGCTATGCAAATATCCTCTTGCAGATTCTACAAAAAGAGTGTTTCAAAACTGCTCTATGAAAAGAAAGGTTCAACTCTGTCAGTAGAGGGCACACATCACAAACAAGTTTCTGAGAATGCTTGTGTCTAGTTGTTATGGGAAGATATTTCCTTTTTCAACATAGGCCTGAAAGCGCTCCAAATGTCCACTTCCAGATACTACAAAAGGAGTGATTCCAACCTGCTCTATGATAGGGAATGTTCAACTCTCTGTCCTGAATACAAACATCACAAAGATGTTTCTCAGAACGCTGCAGTCTGCAATTTGTATGAATTCCCGCTTCCAACGAAATCCTAAAAACTAGCCAAATATCCACTTGCAGATTCCACAAAAAGACCATTTCAAAACTGCTCTATCAAAAGAAAGGTTCAACTTTGTTAGTTGAGTAGATACAGCATAAACAAGTTTCTGAGAATGCTTCTGTCCAGTTTTTATGGGAAGATATTTCCTTTTTCACCTTAGCCCTGAAATCGCTCCAAAAGTCCAGTTCCAGATACTACAAAAGGGGTGTTTCAAGACTGCTCTATGAAAGGGAGTGTTCAACTTTTGACTTGAATGCAAACATCAGAAAGCAGTTTCTCAGAACGCTGCTGTGTGCTTTTTATATGTATTCCCGCTTCCAGCGAAATCCCCAAAGCTAGCCAAATATCCACTTGCAGATTCCAGAAAAAGAGTGTTTCAAAACTGCTCCTTCAAAACGGTGGTTCAATTCTCTTAGTTGAGTACACACATCTCAAATAAGTTTCTGAGAATGCTTCTGTCTAGTTGTTATGGGAAGATATTTCCTTTTCCAACATAGGCCTGAAAGCGCTCCAAATGTCCACTTCCAGATACTACAAAAGGAGTGATTCAAACCTGCTCTATGATAGGGAATGTTCAACTCTGTGTCCTGAATACAAACATCACAAAGATGTTTCCTCAGAACGCTGCAGTCTGCAATTCGTATGAATTCCCGCTTCCAACGAAATCCTCAAAACTAGCCAAATATCCACTTGCAGATTCCAGAAAAAGAGCATTTCAAAACTGCTCTATCAAAAGAAAGGTTCAACTTTGTTAGTTGAGTAGATACAGCATGGACAAGTTTCTGAGAATGCTTCTGTCCAGTTTTTATGGGAAGATATTTCCTTTTTCACCTTAGCCCTGAAAGCGCTCCAAATGTCCACTTCCAGATTCTACAAAAGGGGTGTTTCAGGCCTGCTCTATGAAAGGGAGTGTTCAACTTTTGACTTGAATGCAAACATCAGAAAGCAGTTTCTCAGAACGCTGCTGTGTGCTTTTTATATGTATTCCCGCTTCCAGCGAAATCCCCAAAGCTAGCCAAATATCCACTTGCAGATTCCAGAAAACGAGTGTTTCAAAACTGCTCCTTCAAAACGGCGGTTCAATTCTCCTAGTTGAGTACACACATCTCAAATAGGTTTCTGAGAATGCTTCTGTCTAGCTGTTATGGGAGGATATTTCCTTTTCCAACATAGGCCTGAAAGCGCTCCAAACGTCCACTTCCAGATACCACAAAAGGAGTGATTCCAACCTGCTCTATGATAGGGAATGTTCAACTCTGTGTCCTAAATACAAACATCACAAAGATGTTTCTCAGAACGCTGCAGTCTGCAATTTGCATGAATTCCCGCTTCCAACGAAATCCTCAAAACTAGCCAAATATCCACTTGCAGATTCCACAAAAAGAGCGTTTCAAAACTTCTCTATGAAAAGAAAGGTTCTACTCCTTTAGTTGAGGACACCCATCACGAGTAAGTTTCTGAGAATGCTTCTGTCTAGTTTTTATGGGAAGATATTTCCTTTTTCACCTGAGGCCGGAAAGCGCTCCAAATGTCCACTTACAGACACTACAAAAGAGTGTTTCAAACCTGCTCTGTGAAAGGGAATGTTCAATTCTGTGACTTGAATGCAATCACCACAAAGAAGTTTCTGAGAATGCTGCTGTCTGCTTTTTATTCGTAATCCCGTGTCCAACGAAATCCTCAAATCTAGCCAAATATCCACTTGCAGATTCCTCAAAAAGAGTGTTTCAAAACTGGTCTGTCAAAAGAAAGGTTCAACTCTGTTAGTTGAGGACACACCTCAGAAACTAGTTTCTGAGAAGGCTTCTGTCTAGTTGTTATGGGAAGATATTTCCTTTTCCAACGTAGGACTGGAAGCGCTCCAAATGTCCACTTCCAGATACTACAAAAAGAGTGTTTCAAACCTGCTCTACCAAAGGGAATGTTCTCCTCTGTGACTTGAATGCAAACATCCCAAAGAAGTTTCTGAGAATGCTTCTGTCTTGATTTTACCTGAAGACAATCCCGTTTCCAACGAAATCCTCAAACTTATGCAAATATCCTCTTGCAGATTCTACACAAAGAGTGTTTCGAAACTGCTCTATGAAAGGAAAGGTTCAACTCTGTCAGTAGAGGGCACACATCACAAACAAGTTTCTGAGAATGCTTCTGTCTAGTTGTTTTGGGAAGATATTTCCTTTTTCAACATAGGCCTGAAAGCGCTCCAAATGGCCACTTCCAGATACTACAAAAGGAGTGATTCCAACCTGCTCTACGATAGGTAATGTTCAACCCTGTGTCCTGAATACAAACATCACAAAGATGTTTCTCAGAACGCTGCAGTCTGCAATTCGTATGAATTCCCGCTTCCAACGAAATCCTCAAAACTAGCCAAATATCCACTTGCAGATTCCAGAAAAAGAGCATTTCAAAACTGCTCTATCAAAAGAAAGGTTCAACTTTGTTAGTTGAGTAGATACAGCATGGACAAGTTTCTGAGAATGCTTCTGTCCAGTTTTTATGGGAAGATATTTCCTTTTTCACCTTAGCCCTGAAAGCGCTCCAAATGTCCACTTCCAGATTCTACAAAAGGGGTGTTTCAGGCCTGCTCTATGAAAGGGAGTGTTCAACTTTTGACTTGAATGCAAACATCAGAAAGCAGTTTCTCAGAACGCTTGTCTAGTTTTTATGGGAAGATATTTCCTTTTTCACCTTAGGCCGGTAAGTGCTCCAAATGTCCACTTACACACACTACAAAAAGAGTGTTTCAAACCTGCTCTGTGAAAGGGAATGTTCAATTCTGTGACTTGAATGCAATCATCACAAAGAACTTTCTGAGACTGCTGCTGTCTGCTTTGTATATGTAATCCCGTTTCCAACGAAATCCTCATATCTAGCTAAATATCCACTTGCAGATTCCAGAAAAAGAGTGTTTCAAAACTGCTCCTTCAAAACGGTGGTTCAATTCTCTTAGTTGAGTACACACATCTCAAATAAGTTTCTGAGAATGCTTCTGTCTACTTGTTATGGGAAGATATTTCCTTTTCCAACATAGGCCTGAAAGCGCTCCAAATGTCCACTTCCAGATACTACAAAAGGAATGATTCAAACCTGCTCTATGATAGGGAATGTTCAACTCTGTGTCCTGAATACAAACATCACAAAGATGTTTCTCAGAACGCTGCAGTCTGCAATTTGTATGAATTCCCGCTTCCAACGAAATCCTCAAAACTAGCCAAATATCCACTTGCAGATTCCACAAAAAGAGCGTTTCAAAACTTCTCTATGAAAAGAAAGGTTCTACTCCTTTAGTTGAGGACACACATCACGAGTAAGTTTCTGAGAATGCTTCTGTCTAGTTTTTATGGGAAGATATTTCCTTTTTCACCTTAGGCCGGAAAGTGCTCCAAATGTCCACTTACACACACTACAAAAAGAGTGTTTCAAACCTGCTCTGTGAAAGGGAATGTTCAATTCTGTGACTTGAATGCAATCATCACAAAGAACGTTCTGAGAATGCTGCTGACTGCTTTTTATATGTAATCCCGTTTCCAACGAAATCCTCAAATCCAGCCAAATAGCCACTTGCAGATTCCACAAAAAGAGTGTTTCAAAACTGTTCTGTCTAAAGAAATGTTCAACTGTGTTAGTTGAGGACACACATCAGAAACTAGTTTCTGAGAATGCTTCCGTCTAGTTGTTATGGGAAGATATTTCCTTTTCCAACGTAGGCCTGAAAGCGCTCCAAATGTCCACTTCCATATACTAAAAAAAGAGTGTTTCAAACCTGCTCTACCAAAGGAATGTTCTACTCTGTGACTTGAATGCAAACATCCCAAAGAAGTTTCTGAGAATGCTTCTGTCTAGATTTTATCTGAAGACAATCCCGTTTCCAACGAAATCCTCAAGGCTAGGCAAATATACTCTTGCAGATTCCAGAAAAAGAGTGTTTCAAAACTGCTCCTTGAAAACGGTGGTTCAATTCTCTTAGTTGAGTACACACATCTCAAATAAGTTTCTGAGAATGCTTCTGCCTAGTTGTTACGGGAAGATATTTCCCTTTCCAACATGGGCCTGAAAGCGCTCCAAATGTCCACTTCCAGATACTACAAAAAGAGGGTTTCAAACCTGCTCTTCCAAAGGGAATGTTCTACTCTGTGACTTGAATGCAAACATCCCAAAGAAGTTTCTGAGAATGCTTCTGTCTAGATTTTACCTGAAGACAATCCCGTTTCCCACGAAATCCTCAAAGCTATGCAAATATCCTCTTGCAGATTCTACAAAAAGAGTGTTTCAAAACTGCTCTATGAAAAGAAAGGTTCAACTCTGTCAGTAGAGGGCACACATCACAAACAAGTTTCTGAGAATGCTTGTGTCTAGTTGTTATGGGAAGATATTTCCTTTTTCAACATAGGCCTGAAAGCGCTCCAAATGTCCACTTCCAGATACTACAAAAGGAGTGATTCCAACCTGCTCTATGATAGGGAATGTTCAACTCTGTGTCCTGAATACAAACATCACAAAGATGTTTCTCAGAACGCTGCAGTCTGCAATTTGTATGAATTCCCGCTTCCAACGAAATCCTCCAAACTAGCCAAATATCCACTTGCAGATTCCACAAAAAGACCATTTCAAAACTGCTCTATCAAAAGAAAGGTTCAACTTTGTTAGTTGAGTAGATACAGCATAAACAAGTTTCTGAGAATGCTTCTGTCCAGTTTTTATGGGAAGATATTTCCTTTTTCACCTTAGCCCTGAAATCGCTCCAAAAGTCCAGTTCCAGATACTACAAAAGGGGTGTTTCAGGACTGCTCTATGAAAGGGAGTGTTCAACTTTTGACTTGAATGCAAACATCAGAAAGCAGTTTCTCAGAACGCTGCTGTGTGCTTTTTATATGTATTCCCGCTTCCAGCGAAATCCCCAAAGCTAGCCAAATATCCACTTGCAGATTCCAGAAAAAGAGTGTTTCAAAACTGCTCCTTCAAAACGGTGGTTCAATTCTCTTAGTTGAGTACACACATCTCAAATAAGTTTCTGAGAATGCTTGTGTCTAGTTGTTATGGGAAGATATTTCCTTTTCCAACATAGGCCTGAAAGTGCTCCAAATGTCCACTTCCAGATACTACAAAAGGAGTGATTCAAACCTGCTCTATGATAGGGAATGTTCAACTCTGTGTCCTGAAGACAAACATCACAAAGATGTTTCTCAGAACGCTGCAGTCTGCAATTTGTATGAATTCCCGCTTCCAACGAAATCCTCAAAACTAGCCAAATATCCACTTGCAGATTCCACAAAAAGAGCGTTTCAAAACTTCTCTATGAAAAGAAAGGTTCTACTCCTTTAGTTGAGGACACACATCACGAGTAAGTTTCTGAGAATGCTTCTGTCTAGTTTTTATGGGAAGATATTTTCCTTGTTCACCTTAGGCCGGAAAGCGCTCCAAATGTCCACTTACACACACTACAAAAAGAGTGTTTCAAACCTGCTCTGTGAAAGGGAATGTTCAATTCTGTGACTTGAATGCAATCATCACAAAGAAGTTTCTGAGAATGCTGCTGTCTGCTTTTTATATGTAATCCCGTTTCCAACGAAATCCTCAAATCTAGCCAAATAGCCACTTGCAGATACCACAAAAAGAGTGTTTCAAAACTGTTCTGTCTAAAGAAATGTTCAACTGTGTTAGTTGAGGACACACATCAGAAACTAGTTTCTGAGAATGCTTCTGTCTAGTTGTTATGGGAAGATATTTCCTTTTCCAACGTAGGCCTGAAAGCGCTCCAAATGTCCACTTCCATATACTAAAAAAAGAGTGTTTCAAACCTGCTCTACCAAAGGGAATGTTCTACTCTGTGACTTGAATGCAAACATCCCAAAGAAGTTTCTGAGAATGCTTCTGTCTAGATTTTATCTGAAGACAATCCCGTTTCCAACGAAATCCTCAAATCTATGCAAATATCCTCTTGCAGATTCCAGAAAAAGAGTGTTTCAAAACTGCTCCTTCAAAACGGTGGTTCAATTCTCTTAGTTGAGTACACACATCTCAAATAAGTTTCTGAGAATGCTTCTGCCTAGTTGTTACGGGAAGATATTTCCCTTTCCAACATAGGCCTGAAAGCGCTCCAAATGTCCACTTCCAGATACTACAAAAAGAGTGTTTCAAACCTGCTCCTTCAAAACGGTGGTTCAATTCTCTTAGTTCAGTACACACATCTCAAATAAGTTTCTGAGAATGCTTCTGCCTAGTTGTTACGGGAAGATATTTCCCTTTCCAACATAGGCCTGAAAGCGCTCCAAATGTCCACTTCCAGATACTACAAAAAGAGTGTTTCAAACCTGCTCTACCAAAGGGAATGTTCTACTCTGTGACTTGAATGCAAACATCCCGAAGAATTTTCTGAGAATGCTTCTGTCTAGATTTTACCTGAAGACAATCCCGTTTCCCACGAAATCCTCAAAGCTATGCAAATATCCTCTTGCAGATTCTACAAAAAGAGTGTTGCGAAACTGCTCTATGAAAAGAAAGGTTCAACTCTGTCAGTAGAGGGCACACATCACAAACAAGTTTCTGAGAATGCTTGTGTCTACTTGTTATGGGAAGATATTTCCTTTTTCAACATAGGCCTGAAAGCGCTCCAAATGTCCACTTCCAGATACTACAAAAGGAGTGATTCCAACCTGCTCTATGATAGGGAATGTTCAACTCTGTGTCCTGAATACAAACATCACAAAGATGTTTCTCAGAACGCTGCAGTCTGCAATTTGTATGAATTCCCGCTTCCAACGAAATCCTCAAAACTAGCCAAATATCCACTTGCAGATTCCACAAAAAGAGCATTTCAAAACTGCTCTATCAAAAGAAAGGTTCAACTTTGTTAGTTGAGTAGATACAGCATAAACAAGTTTCTGAGAATGCTTCTGTCCAGTTTTTATGGGAAGATATTTCCTTTTTCACCTTAGCCCTGAAATCGCTCCAAAAGTCCAGTTCCAGATACTACAAAAGGGGTGTTTCAAGACTGCTCTATGAAAGGGAGTGTTCAACTTTTGACTTGAATGCAAACATCAGAAAGCAGTTTCTCAGAACGCTGCTGTGTGCTTTTTATATGTATTCCCGCTTCCAGCGAAATCCCCAAAGCTAGCCAAATATCCACTTGCAGATTCCAGAAAAAGAGAGTTTCAAAACTGCTCCTTCAAAACGGTGGTTCAATTCTCTTAGTTGAGTACACACATCTCAAATAAGTTTCTGAGAATGCTTCTGTCTAGTTGTTATGGGAAGATATTTCCTTTTCCAACATAGGCCTGAAAACGCTCCAAATGTCCACTTCCAGATACTACAAAAGGAGTGATTCAAACCTGCTCTATGATAGGGAATGTTCAACTCTGTGTCCTGAATACAAACATCACAAAGATGTTTCTCAGAACGCTGCAGTCTGCAATTTGTATGAATTCCCGCTTCCAACGAAATCCTCAAAACTAGCCAAATATCCACTTGCAGATTCCACAAAAAGAGCGTTTCAAAACTTCTCTATGAAAAGAAAGGTTCTACTCCTTTAGTTGAGGACACACATCACGAGTAAGTTTCTGAGAATGCTTCTGTCTAGTTTTTATGGGAAGATATTTCCTTTTTCACCTTAGGCCGGTAAGTGCTCCAAATGTCCACTTACACACACTACAAAAAGAGTGTTTCAAACCTGCTCTGTGAAAGGGAATGTTCAATTCTGTGACTTGAATGCAATCATCACAAAGAACTTTCTGAGAATGCTGCTGTCTGCTTTTTATATGTAATCCCGTTTCCAACGAAATCCTCAAATCTAGCCCAATATCCACTTGCAGATTCCACAAAAAGAGTGTTTCAAAACTGTTCTGTCTAAAGAAAAGTTCAACTGTGTTAGTTGAGGACACACATCAGAAACTAGATTCTGAGAATGCTTCTGTCTAGTTGTTATGGGAAGATATTTCCTTTTCCAACGTAGGCCTGAAAGCGCTCCAAATGTCCACTTCCATATACTAAAAAAAGAGTGTTTCAAACCTGCTCTACCAAAGGGAATGTTCTACTCTGTGACTTGAATGCAAACATCCCAAAGAAGTTTCTGAGAATGCTTCTGTCTAGATTTTATCTGAAGACAATCCCGTTTCCAACGAAATCCTCAAGGCTAGGCAAATATACTCTTGCAGATTCCAGAAAAAGAGTGTTTCAAAACTGCTCCTTCAAAACGGTTGTTCAATTCTCTTAGTTGAGTACACACATCTCAAATAAGTTTCTGAGAATGCTTCTGCCTAGTTGTTACGGGAAGATATTTCCCTTTCCAACATGGGCCTGAAAGCGCTCCAAATGTCCACTTCCAGATACTACAAAAAGAGTGTTTCAAACCTGCTCTACCAAAGGGAATGTTCTACTCTGTGACTTGAATGCAAACATCCCAAAGAAGTTTCTGAGAATGCTTCTGTCTAGATTTTACCTGAAGACAATCCCGTTTCCCACGAAATCCTCAAAGCTATGCAAATATCCTCTTGCAGATTCTACAAAAAGAGTGTTTCAAAACTGCTCTATGAAAAGAAAGGTTCAACTCTGTCAGTAGAGGGCACACATCACAAACAAGTTTCTGAGAATGCTTCTGCATAGTTGTTACGGGAAGATATTTCCCTTTCCAAAATAGGCCTGAAAGCGCTCCAAATGTCCACTTCCAGATACTACAAAAGGAGTGATTCCAACCTGCTCTATGATAGGGAATGTTCAACTCTGTGTCCTGAATACAAACATCACAAAGATGTTTCTCAGAACGCTGCAGTCTGCAATTTGTATGAATTCCCGCTTCCAACGAAATCCTCAAAACTAGCCAAATATCCACTTGCAGATTCCACAAAAAGACCATTTCAAAACTGCTCTATCAAAAGAAAGGTTCAACTTTGTTAGTTGAGTAGATACAGCATAAACAAGTTTCTGAGAATGCTTCTGTCCAGTTTTTATGGGAAGATATTTCCTTTTTCACCTTAGCCCTGAAAGCGCCCCAAATGTCCAGTTCCAGATACTACAAAAGGGGTGTTTCAAGACTGCTCTATGAAAGGGAGTGTTCAACTTTTGATTTGAATGCAAACATCAGAAAGCAGTTTCTCAGAACGCTGCTGTGTGCTTTTTATATGTATTCCCGCTTCCAGCGAAATCCCCATAGCTAGCCAAATATCCACTTGCAGATTCCAGAAAAAGAGTGTTTCCAAACTGCTCCTTCAAAACGGTGGTTCAATTCTCTTAGTTGAGTACACACATCTCAAATAAGTTTCTGGGAATGCTTCTGTCTAGTTGTTATGGGAAGATATTTCCTTTTCCAACATAGGCCTGAAAGCGCTCCAAATGTCCACTTCCAGATACTACAAAAGGAGTGATTCAAACCTGCTCTATGATAGGGAATGTTCAACTCTGTGTCCTGAATACAAACATCACAAAGATGTTTCTCAGAACGCTGCAGTCTGCAATTTGTATGAATTCCCGCTTCCAACGAAATCCTCAAAACTAGCCAAATATCCACTTGCAGATTCCACAAAAAGAGGGTTTCAAAACTTCTCTAT
This sequence comes from Homo sapiens, assembly GCF_000001405.40. Lineage (NCBI taxonomy): Eukaryota > Metazoa > Chordata > Mammalia > Primates > Hominidae > Homo > Homo sapiens. Next base: position 18,521,540 of record NC_000018.10, on the reverse strand, counting down.
GAAAAGAAAGGTTCTACTCCTTTAGTTGAGGACACACATCACGAGTAAGTTTCTGAGAATGCTTCTGTCTAGTTTTTATGGGAAGATATTTCCTTTTTCACCTTAGGCCGGAAAGTGCTCCAAATGTCCACTTACACACACTACAAAAAGAGTGTTTCAAACCTGTTCTGTGAAAGGGAATGTTCAATTCTGTGACTTGAATGCAATCATCACAAAGAACTTTCTGAGAATGCTGCTGTCTGCTTTTTATATGTAATCCCGTTTCCAACGAAATCCTCAAATCTAGCCAAATAGCCACTTGCAGATTCCACAAAAAGAGTGTTTCAAAACTGTTCTGTCTAAAGAAATGTTCAACTGTGTTAGTTGAGGACACACATCAGAAACTAGTTTCTGAGAATGCTTCTGTCTAGTTGTTATGGGAAGATATTTCCTTTTCCAACGTAGGCCTGAAAGCGCTCCAAATGTCCACTTCCAGATACTACAAAAAGAGTGTTTCAAACCTGCTCTACCAAAGGGAATGTTCTACTCTGTGACTTGAATGCAAACATCCCAAAGAAGTTTCTGAGAATGCTTTCTGTCTAGATTTGATCTGAACACAATCCCGTTTCCAACGAAATCCTCAAGGCTAGGCAAATATCCTCTTGCAGATTCCAGAAAAAGAGTGTTTCAAAACTGCTCCTTCAAAACGGTGGTTCAATTCTCTTAGTTGAGTACACACATCTCAAATAAGTTTCTGAGAATGCTTCTGCCTAGTTGTTACGGGAAGATATTTCCCTTTCCAACATAGGCCTGAAAGCGCTCCAAATGTCCACTTCCAGATACTACAAAAAGAGTGTTTCAAACCTGCTCTACCAAAGGGAATGTTCTGCTCTGTGACTTGAATGCAAACATCCCAAAGAAGTTTCTGAGAATGCTTCTGTCTAGATTTTACCTGAAGACAATCCCGTTTCCCACGAAATCCTCAAAGCTATGCAAATATCCTCTTGCAGATTCTACAAAAAGAGTGTTTCAAAACTGCTCTATGAAAAGAAAGGTTCAACTCTGTCAGTAGAGGGCACACATCACAAACAAGTTTCTGAGAATGCTTGTGTCTAGTTGTTATGGGAAGATATTTCCTTTTTCAACATAGGCCTGAAAGCGCTCCAAATGTCCACTTCCAGATACTACAAAAGGAGTGATTCCAACCTGCTCTATGATAGGGAATGTTCAACTCTCTGTCCTGAATACAAACATCACAAAGATGTTTCTCAGAACGCTGCAGTCTGCAATTTGTATGAATTCCCGCTTCCAACGAAATCCTCAAAACTAGCCAAATATCCACTTGCAGATTCCACAAAAAGAGCATTTCAAAACTGCTCTATCAAAAGAAAGGTTCAACTTTGTTAGTTGAGTAGATACAGCATAAACAAGTTTCTGAGAATGCTGCAGTCTGCAATTTGTATGAATTCCCGCTTCCAACGAAATCCTCAAAACTAGCCAAATATCCACTTGCAGATTCCACAAAAAGAGCGTTTCAAAACTTCTCTATAAAAAGAAAGGTTCTACTCCTTTAGTTGAGGACACACATCACCAGTAAGTTTCTGAGAATGCTTCTGTCTAGTTTTTATGGGAAGATATTTCCTTTTTCACCTTAGGCCGGAAAGTGCTCCAAATGTCCACTTACACACACTACAAAAAGAGTGTTTCAAATCTGCTCTGTGAAAGGGAATGTTCAATTCTGTGACTTGAATGCAATCATCACAAAGAACTTTCTGAGACTGCTGCTGTCTGCTTTGTATATGTAATCCCGTTTCCAACGAAATCCTCATATCTAGCTAAATATCCAATTGCAGATTCCAGAAAAAGAGTGTTTCAAAACTGCTCCTTCAAAACGGTGGTTCAATTCTCTTAGTTGAATACACACATCTCAAATAAGTTTCTGAGAATGCTTGTGTCTAGTTGTTATGGGAAGATATTTCCTTTTTCACCTTAGGCCGGAAAGTGCTCCAAATGTCCACTTCCAGATACAACAAAAGGAGTGATTCAAACCTGCTCTATGATAGGGAATGTTCAACTCTGTGTCCTGAATACAAACATCACAAAGATGTTTCTCAGAACGCTGCAGTCTGCAATTTGTATGAATTCCCGCTTCCAACGAAATCCTCAAAACTAGCCAAATATCCACTTGCAGATTCCACAAAAAGAGCGTTTCAAAACTTCTCTATGAAAAGAAAGGTTCTACTCCTTTAGTTGAGGACACACATCACGAGTAAGTTTCTGAGAATGCTTCTGTCTAGTTTTTATGGGAAGATATTTCCTTTTTCACCTTAGGCCGGTAAGTGCTCCAAATGTCCACTTACACACACTACAAAAAGAGTGTTTCAAACCTGCTCTGTGAAAGGGAATGTTCAATTCTGTGACTTGAATGCATACATCACAAAGAACTTTCTGAGAATGCTGCTGTCTGCTTTTTATATGTAATCCCGTTTCCAACGAAATCCTCAAATCTAGCCAAATAGCCACTTGCAGATTCCACAAAAAGAGTGTTTCAAAACTGTTCTGTCTAAAGAAATGTTCAACTGTGTTAGTTGAGGACACACATCAGAAACTAGTTTCTGAGAATGCTTCTGTCTAGTTGTTATGGGAAGATATTTCCTTTTCCAACGTAGGCCTGAAAGCGCTCCAAATGTCCACTTCCATATACTAAAAAAAGAGTGTTTCAAACCTGCTCTACCAAAGGGAATGTTCTACTCTGTGACATGAATGCAAACATCCCAAAGAAGTTTCTGAGAATGCTTCTGTCTAGATTTGATCTGAAGACAATCCCGTTTCCAACGAAATCCTCAAGGCTAGGCAAATATCCTCTTGCAGATTCCAGAAAAAGAGTGTTTCAAAACTGCTCCTTCAAAACGGTGGTTCAATTCTCTTAGTTGAGTACACACATCTCAAATAAGTTTCTGAGAATGCTTCTGCCTAGTTGTTACGGGAAGATATTTCCCTTTCCAACATAGGCCTGAAAGCGCTCCAAATGTCCACTTCCAGATACTACAAAAAGAGTGTTTCAAACCTGCTCTACCAAAGGGAATGTTCTGCTCTGTGACTTGAATGCAAACATCCCAAAGAAGTTTCTGAGAATGCTTCTGTCTAGATTTTACCTGAAGACAATCCCGTTTCCCACGAAATCCTCAAAGCTATGCAAATATCCTCTTGCAGATTCTACAAAAAGAGTGTTTCAAAACTGCTCTATGAAAAGAAAGGTTCAACTCTGTCAGTAGAGGGCACACATCACAAACAAGTTTCTGAGAATGCTTCTGCATAGTTGTTACGGGAAGATATTTCCCTTTCCAAAATAGGCCTGAAAGCGCTCCAAATGTCCACTTCCAGATACTACAAAAGGAGTGATTCCAACCTGCTCTATGATAGGGAATGTTCAACTCTGTGTCCTGAATACAAACATCACAAAGATGTTTCTCAGAACGCTGCAGTCTGCAATTTGTATGAATTCCCGCTTCCAACGAAATCCTCAAAACTAGCCAAATATCCACTTGCAGATTCCACAAAAAGACCATTTCAAAACTGCTCTATCAAAAGAAAGGTTCAACTTTGTTAGTTGAGTAGATACAGCATAAACAAGTTTCTGAGAATGCTTCTGTCCAGTTTTTATGGGAAGATATTTCCTTTTTCACCTTAGCCCTGAAATCGCTCCAAAAGTCCAGTTCCAGATACTACAAAAGGGGTGTTTCAAGACTGCTCTATGAAAGGGAGTGTTCAACTTTTGACTTGAATGCAAACATCAGAAAGCAGTTTCTCAGAACGCTGCTGTGTGCTTTTTATATGTATTCCCGCTTCCAGCGAAATCCCCAAAGCTAGCCAAATATCCACTTGCAGATTCCAGAAAAAGAGAGTTTCAAAACTGCTCCTTCAAAACGGTGGTTCAATTCTCTTAGTTGAGTACACACATCTCAAATAAGTTTCTGAGAAAACTTCTGTCTAGTTGTTATGGGAAGATATTTCCTTTTCCAACATAGGCCTGAAAGCGCTCCAAATGTCCACTTCCAGATACTACAAAAGGAGTGATTCCAACCTGCTCTATGATAGGGAATGTTCAACTCTGTGTCCTGAATACAAACATCACAAAGATGTTTCTCAGAACGCTGCAGTCTGCAATTTGTATGAATTCCCGCTTCCAACGAAATCCTCCAAACTAGCCAAATATCCACTTGCAGATTCCACAAAAAGAGCGTTTCAAAACTTCTCTATGAAAAGAAAGGTTCTACTCCTTTAGTTGAGGACACACATCACGAGTAAGTTTCTGAGAATGCTTCTGTCTAGTTTTTATGGGAAGATATTTCCTTGTTCACCTTAGGCCGGAAAGCGCTCCAAATGTCCACTTACACACACTACAAAAAGAGTGTTTCAAACCTGCTCTGTGAAAGGGAATGTTCAATTCTGTGACTTGAATGCAATCATCACAAAGAAGTTTCTGAGAATGCTGCTGACTGTTTTTTATATGTAATCCCGTTTCCAACGAAATCCTCAAATCTTGCCCAATATCCACTTGCAGATTCCACAAAAAGAGTGTTTCAAAACTGTTCTGTCTAAAGAAAAGTTCAACTGTGTTAGTTGAGGACACATATCAGAAACTAGTTTCTGAGAATGCTTCTGTCTAGTTGTTATGGGAAGATATTTCCTTTTCCAACGTAGGCCTGAAAGCGCTCCAAATGTCCACTTCCATATACTAAAAAAAGAGTGTTTCAAACCTGCTCTACCAAAGGGAATGTTCTACTCTGTGACTTGAATGCAAACATCCCAAAGAAGTTTCTGAGAATGCTTCTGACTAGATTTGATCTGAAGACAATCCCGTTTCCAACGAAATCCTCAAGGCTAGGCAAATATCCTCTTGCAGATTCCAGAAAAAGAGTGTTTCAAAACTGCTCCTTCAAAACGGTGGTTCAATTCTCTTAGTTGAGTACACACATCTCAAATAAGTTTCTGAGAATGCTTCTGCCTAGTTGTTACGGGAAGATATTTCCCTTTCCAACATAGGCCTGAAAGCGCTCCAAATGTCCACTTCCAGATACTACAAAAAGAGTGTTTCAAACCTGCTCTACCAAAGGGAATGTTCTGCTCTGTGACTTGAATGCAAACATCCCAAAGAAGTTTCTGAGAATGCTTCTGTCTAGATTTTACCTGAAGACAGTCCCGTTTCCCACGAAATCCTCAAAGCTATGCAAATATCCTCTTGCAGATTCTACAAAAAGAGTGTTTCAAAACTGCTCTATGAAAAGAAAGGTTCAACTCTGTCAGTAGAGGGCACACATCACAAACAAGTTTCTGAGAATGCTTCTGTCTAGTTGTTATGGGAAGATATTTCCTTTTCCAACATAGGCCTGAAAGCGCTCCAAATGTCCACTTCCAGTTACTACAAAAGGAGTGATTCAAACCTGCTCTATGATAGGGAATGTTCAACTCTGTGTCCTGAATACAAACATCACAAAGATGTTTCTCAGAACGCTGCAGTCTGCAATTTGTATGAATTCCCGCTTCCAGCGAAATCCTCAAAACTAGCCAAATATCCACTTGCAGATTCCACAAAAAGAGCATTTCAAAACTGCTCTATCAAAAGAAAGGTTCAACTTTGTTAGTTGAGTAGATACAGCATAAACAAGTTTCTGAGAATGCTTCTGTCCAGTTTTTATGGGAAGATATTTCCTTTTTCACCTTAGCCCTGAAAGCGCTCCAAATTTCCAGTTCCAGATACTACAAAAGGGGTGTTTCAAGACTGCTCTATGAAAGGGAGTGTTCAACTTTTGACTTGAATGCAAACATCAGAAAGCAGTTTCTCAGAACGCTGCTGTGTGCTTTTTATATGTATTCCCGCTTCCAGCGAAATCCCCAAAGCTAGCCAAATATCCACTTGCAGATTCCAGAAAAAGAGTGTTTCCAAACTGCTCCTTCAAAACGGTGGTTCAATTCTCTTAGTTGAGTACACACATCTCAAATAAGTTTCTGGGAATGCTTCTGTCTAGTTGTTATGGGAAGATATTTCCTTTTCCAACATAGGCCTGAAAGCGCTCCAAATGTCCACTTCCAGATACTACAAAAGGAGTGATTCCAACCTGCTCTATGATAGGGAATGTTCAACTCTGTGTCCTGAATACAAACATCACAAAGATGTTTCTCAGAACGCTGCAGTCTGCAATTTGTATGAATTCCCGCTTCCAACGAAATCCTCAAAACTAGCCAAATATCCACTTGCAGATTCCACAAAAAGAGCGTTTCAAAACTTCTCTATGAAAAGAAAGGTTCTACTCCTTTAGTTGAGGACACACATCACGAGTAAGTTTCTGAGAATGCTTCTGTCTAGTTTTTATGGGAAGATATTTCCTTTTTCACCTTAGGCCGGTAAGTGCTCCAAATGTCCACTTACACACACTACAAAAAGAGTGTTTCAAACCTGCTCTGTGAAAGGGAATGTTCAATTCTGTGACTTGAATGCAATCATCACAAAGAACTTTCTGAGAATGCTGCTGACTGCTTTTTATATGTAATCCCGTTTCCAACGAAATCCTCAAATCTAGCCAAATAGCCACTTGCAGATTCCACAAAAAGAGTGTTTCAAAACTGTTCTGTCTAAAGAAATGTTCAACTGTGTTAGTTGAGGACACACATCAGAAACTAGTTTCTGAGAATGCTTCTGTCTAGTTGTTATGGGAAGATATTTCCTTTTCCAACGTAGGCCTGAAAGCGCTCCAAATGTCCACTTCCAGATACTACAAAAAGAGTGTTTCAAACCTGCTCTACCAAAGGGAATGTTCTACTCTGTGACTTGAATGCAAACATCCCAAAGAAGTTTCTGAGAATGCTTCTGTCTAGATTTTCTCTGAAGACAATCCCGTTTCCAACGAAATCCTCAAGGCTAGGCAAATATACTCTTGCAGATTCCAGAAAAAGAGTGTTTCAAAACTGCTCCTTCAAAACGGTGGTTCAATTCTCTTAGTTGAGTACACACATCTCAAATAAGTTTCTGAGAATGCTTCTGCCTAGTTGTTACGGGAAGATATTTCCCTTTCCAACATGGGCCTGAAAGCGCTCCAAATGTCCACTTCCAGATACTACAAAAAGAGTGTTTCAAACCTGCTCTACCAAAGGGAATGTTCTACTCTGTGACTTGAATGCAAACATCCCAAAGAAGTTTCTGAGAATGCTTCTGTCTAGATTTTACCTGAAGACAATCCCGTTTCCCACGAAATCCTCAAAGCTATGCAAATATCCTCTTGCAGATTCTACAAAAAGAGTGTTTCAAAACTGCTCTATGAAAAGAAAGGTTCAACTCTGTCAGTAGAGGGCACACATCACAAACAAGTTTCTGAGAATGCTTCTGCATAGTTGTTACGGGAAGATATTTCCCTTTCCAAAATAGGCCTGAAAGCGCTCCAAATGTCCACTTCCAGATACTACAAAAGGAGTGATTCCAACCTGCTCTATGATAGGGAATGTTCAACTCTGTGTCCTGAATACAAACATCACAAAGATGTTTCTCAGAACGCTGCAGTCTGCAATTTGTATGAATTCCCGCTTCCAACGAAATCCTCCAAACTAGCCAAATATCCACTTGCAGATTCCACAAAAAGAGCATTTCAAAACTGCTCTATCAAAAGAAAGGTTCAACTTTGTTAGTTGAGTAGATACAGCATAAACAAGTTTCTGAGAATGCTTCTGTCCAGTTTTTATGGGAAGATATTTCCTTTTTCACCTTAGCCCTGAAAGCGCTCCAAATTTCCAGTTCCAGATACTACAAAAGGGGTGTTTCAAGACTGCTCTATGAAAGGGAGTGTTCAACTTTTGACTTGAATGCAAACATCAGAAAGCAGTTTCTCAGAACGCTGCTGTGTGCTTTTTATATGTATTCCCGCTTCCAGCGAAATCCCCAAAGCTAGCCAAATATCCACTTGCAGATTCCAGAAAAAGAGTGTTTCCAAACTGCTCCTTCAAAACGGTGGTTCAATTCTCTTAGTTGAGTACACACATCTCAAATAAGTTTCTGGGAATGCTTCTGTCTAGTTGCTATGGGAAGATATTTCCTTTTCCAACATAGGCCTGAAAGCGCTCCAAATGTCCACTTCCAGATACTACAAAAGGAGTGATTCAAACCTGCTCTATGATAGGGAATGTTCAACTCTGTGTCCTGAATACAAACATCACAAAGATGTTTCTCAGAACGCTGCAGTCTGCATCTTGTATGAATTCCCGCTTCCAACGAAATCCTCCAAACTAGCCAAATATCCACTTGCAGATTCCACAAAAAGAGCGTTTCAAAACTTCTCTATGAAAAGAAAGGTTCTACTCCTTTAGTTGAGGACACACATCACGAGTAAGTTTCTGAGAATGCTTCTGTCTAGTTTTTATGGGAAGATATTTCCTTGTTCACCTTAGGCCGGAAAGCGCTCCAAATGTCCACTTACACACACTACAAAAAGAGTGTTTCAAACCTGCTCTGTGAAAGGGAATGTTCAATTCTGTGACTTGAATGCAATCATCACAAAGAAGTTTCTGAGAATGCTGCTGTCTGCTTTTTATATGTAATCCCGTTTCCAACGAAATCCTGAAATCTAGCCAAATATCCACTTGCAGATTCCACAAAAAGAGTGTTTCAAAACTATTCTGTCTAAAGAAAAGTTCAACTGTGTTAGTTGAGGACACACATCAGAAACTAGTTTCTGAGAATGCTTCTGTCTAGTTGTTATGGGAAGATATTTCCTTTTCCAACGTAGGCCTGAAAGCGCTCCAAATGTCCACTTACACACACTACAAAAAGAGTGTTTCAAACCTGCTCTACCAAAGGGAATGTTCTACTCTGTGACTTGAATGCAAACATCCCAAAGAAGTTTCTGAGAATGCTTCTGTCTAGATTTTACCTGAAGACAAACCCGTTTCCCACGAAATCCTCAAAGCTATGCAAATATCCTCTTGCAGATTGTACAAAAAGAGTGTTTCGAAACTGCTCTATGAAAAGAAAGGTTCAACTGTGTCAGTAGAGGGCACACATCACAAACAAGTTTCTGAGAATGCTTCTGCCTAGTTGTTATGGGAAGATATTTCCTTTTTCAACATAGGCCTGAAAGCGCTCCAAATGTCCACTTCCAGATACTACAAAAGGAGTGATTCCAACCTGCTCTATGATAGGGAATGTTCAACTCTGTGTCCTGAATACAAACATCACAAAGATGTTTCTCAGAACGCTGCAGTCTGCAATTTGTATGAATTCCCGCTTCCAACGAAATCCTCAAACCTAGCCAAATATCCACTTGCAGATTCCACAAAAAGAGCATTTCAAAACTGCTCTATCAAAAGAAAGGTTCAACTTTGTTAGTTGAGTAGATACAGCATAAACAAGTTTCTGAGAATGCTTCTGTCCAGTTTTTATGGGAAGATATTTCCTTTTTCACCTTAGCCCTGAAAGCGCTCCAAATGTCCAGTTCCAGATACTACAAAAGGGGTGTTTCAAGACTGCTCTATGAAAGGGAGTGTTCAACTTTTGACTTGAATGCAAACATCAGAAAGCAGTTTCTCAGAACGCTGCTGTGTGCTTTTTATATGTATTCCCGCTTCCAGCGAAATCCCCAAAGCTAGCCAAATATCCACGTGCAGATTCCAGAAAAAGAGTGTTTCAAAACTGCTCCTTCAAAACGGTGGTTCAATTCTCTTAGTTGAGTACACACATCTCAAATAAGTTTCTGAGAATGCTTCTGTCTAGTTGTTATGGGAAGATATTTCCTTTTCCAACATAGGCCTGAAAGCGCTCCAAATGTCCACTTCCAGATACTACAAAAGGAGTGATTCCAACCTGCTCTATGATAGGGAATGTTCAACTCTGTGTCCTGAATACAAACATCACAAAGATGTTTCTCAGAACGCTGCAGTCTGCAATTTGTATGAATTCCCGCTTCCAACGAAATCCTCAAAACTAGCCAAATATCCACTTGCAGATTCCACAAAAAGAGCGTTTCAAAACTTCTCTATGAAAAGAAAGGTTCTACTCCTTTAGTTGAGGACACACATCACGAGTAAGTTTCTGAGAATGCTTCTGTCTAGTTTTTATGGGAAGATATTTCCTTTTTCACCTTAGGCCGGTAAGTGCTCCAAATGTCCACTTACACACACTACAAAAAGAGTGTTTCAAACCTGCTCTGTGAAAGGGAATGTTCAATTCTGTGACTTGAATGCAATCATCACAAAGAACTTTCTGAGAATGCTGCTGACTGCTTTTTATATGTAATCCCGTTTCCAACGAAATCCTCAAATCTAGCCAAATAGCCACTTGCAGATTCCACAAAAAGAGTGTTTCAAAACTGTTCTGTCTAAAGAAATGTTCAACTGTGTTAGTTGAGGACACACATCAGAAACTAGTTTCTGAGAATGCTTCTGTCTAGTTGTTATGGGAAGATATTTCCTTTTCCAACGTAGGCCTGAAAGCGCTCCAAATGTCCACTTCCAGATACTAAAAAAAGAGTGTTTCAAACCTGCTCTACCAAAGAGAATGTTCTACTCTGTGACTTGAATGCAAACATCCCAAAGAAGTTTCTGAGAATGCTTCTGTCTAGATTTTATCTGAAGACAATCCCGTTTCCAACGAAATCCTCAAGGCTAGGCAAATATACTCTTGCAGATTCCAGAAAAAGAGTGTTTCAAAACTGCTCCTTCAAAACGGTGGTTCAATTCTCTTAGTTGAGTACACACATCTCAAATAAGTTTCTGAGAATGCTTCTGCCTAGTTGTTACGGGAAGATATTTCCCTTTCCAACATGGGCCTGAAAGCGCTCCAAATGTCCACTTCCAGATACTACAAAAAGAGGGTTTCAAACCTGCTCTACCAAAGGGAATGTTCTACTCTGTGACTTGAATGCAAACATCCCAAAGAAGTTTCTGAGAATGCTTCTGTCTAGATTTTACCTGAAGACAATCCCGTTTCCCACGAAACCCTCAAAGCTATGCAAATATCCTCTTGCAGATTCTACAAAAAGAGTGTTTCAAAACTGCTCTATGAAAAGAAAGGTTCAACTCTGTCAGTAGAGAGCACACATCACAAACAAGTTTCTGAGAATGCTTGTGTCTAGTTGTTATGGGAAGATATTTCCTTTTTCAACATAGGCCTGAAAGCGCTAAAATGTCCACTTCCAGATACTACAAAAGGAGTGATTCCAACCTGCTCTATGATAGGGAATGTTCAACTCTCTGTCCTGAATACAAACATCACAAAGATGTTTCTCAGAACGCTGCAGTCTGCAATTTGTATGAATTCCCGCTTCCAACGAAATCCTCCAAACTAGCCAAATATCCACTTGCAGATTCCACAAAAAGAGCGTTTCAAAACTTCTCTATGAAAAGAAAGGTTCTACTCCTTTAGTTGAGGACACACATCACGAGTAAGTTTCTGAGAATGCTTCTGTCTAGTTTTTATGGGAAGATATGTCCTTTTTCACCTTAGGCCGGAAAGCGCTCCAAATGTCCACTTACACACACTACAAAAAGAGTGTTTCAAACCTGCTCTGTGAAAGGGAATGTTCAATTCTGTGACTTGAATGCAATCATCACAAAGAACTTTCTGAGAATGCTGCTGTCTGCTTTTTATATGTAATCCCGTTTCCAACGAAATCCTCAAATCTAGCCAAATAGCCACTTGCAGATTCCACAAAAAGAGTGTTTCAAAACTGTTCTGTCTAAAGAAATGTTCAACTGTGTTAGTTGAGGACACACATCAGAAACTAGTTTCTGAGAATGCTTCTGTCTAGTTGTTATGGGAAGATATTTCCTTTTCCAACATAGGTCTGAAAGCGCTCCAAATGTCCACTTCCATATACTAAAAAAAGAGTGTTTCAAACCTGCTCTTCCAAAGAGAATGTTCTACTCTGTGACTTGAATAGAAACATCCCAAAGAAGTTTCTGAGAATGCTTCTGTCTAGATTTGATCTGAAGACAATCCCGTTTCCAACGAAATCCTCAAGGCTAGGCAAATATCCTCTTGCAGATTCCAGAAAAAGAGTGTTTCAAAACTGCTCCTTCAAAACGGTGGTTCAATTCTCTTAGTTGAGTACACACATCTCAAATAAGTTTCTGAGAATGCTTCTGCCTAGTTGTTACGGGAAGATATTTCCCTTTCCAACATAGGCCTGAAAGCGCTCCAAATGTCCACTTCCAGATACTACAAAAAGAGTGTTTCAAACCTGCTCTACCAAAGGGAATGTTCTACTCTGTGACTTGAATGCAAACATCCCAAAGAAGTTTCTGAGAATGCTTCTGTCTAGATTTTACCTGAAGACAATCCCGTTTCCCACGAAATCCTCAAATCTATGCAAATATCCTCTTGCAGATTCTACAAAAAGAGTGTTTCAAAACTGCTCTATGAAAAGAAAGGTTCAACTCTGTCAGTAGAGGGCACACATCACAAACAAGTTTCTGAGAATGCTTGTGTCTAGTTGTTATGGGAAGATATTTCCTTTTTCAACATAGGCCTGAAAGCGCTCCAAATGTCCACTTCCAGATACTACAAAAGGAGTGATTCCAACCTGCTCTATGATAGGGAATGTTCAACTCTGTGTCCTGAATACAAACATCACAAAGATGTTTCTCAGAACGCTGCAGTCTGCAATTTGTATGAATTCCCGCTTCCAACGAAATCCTCAAAACTAGCCAAATATCCACTTGCAGATTCCACAAAAAGACCATTTCAAAACTGCTCTATCAAAAGAAAGGTTCAACTTTGTTAGTTGAGTAGATACAGCATAAACAAGTTTCTGAGAATGCTTCTGTCCAGTTTTTATGGGAAGATATTTCCTTTTTCACCTTAGCCCTGAAATCGCTCCAAAAGTCCAGTTCCAGATACTACAAAAGGGGTGTTTCAAGACTGCTCTATGAAAGGGAGTGTTCAACTTTTGACTTGAATGCAAACATCAGAAAGCAGTTTCTCAGAACGCTGCTGTGTGCTTTTTATATGTATTCCCGCTTCCAGCGAAATCCCCAAAGCTAGCCAAATATCCACTTGCAGATTCCAGAAAAAGAGAGTTTCAAAACTGCTCCTTCAAAACGGTGGTTCAATTCTCTTAGTTGAGTACACACATCTCAAATAAGTTTCTGAGAATGCTTGTGTCTAGTTGTTATGGGAAGATATTTCCTTTTTCAACATAGGCCTGAAAGCGCTCCAAATGTCCACTTCCAGATACTACAAAAGGAGTGATTCCAACCTGCTCTATGATAGGGAATGTTCAACTCTGTGTCCTGAATACAAACATCACAAAGATGTTTCTCAGAACGCTGCAGTCTGCAATTTGTATGAATTCCCGCTTCCAACGAAATCCTCAAAACTAGCCAAATATCCACTTGCAGATTCCACAAAAAGAGCGTTTCAAAACTTCTCTATGAAAAGAAAGGTTCTACTCCTTTAGTTGAGGACACACATCACGAGTAAGTTTCTGAGAATGCTTCTGTCTAGTTTTTATGGGAAGATATTTCCTTTTTCACCTTAGGCCGGAAAGCGCTCCAAATGTCCACTTACACACACTACATAAAGAGTGTTTCAAACCTGCTCTTTGAAAGGGAATGTTCAATTCTGTGACTTGAATGCAATCATCACAAAGAACTTTCTGAGAATGCTGCTGTCTGCTTTTTATATGTAATCCCGTTTCCAACGAAATCCTCAAATCTAGCTAAATATCCACTTGCAGATTCCACAAAAAGAGTGTTTCAAAACTGTCCTGTCTATAGAAAAGTTCAACTGTGTTAGTTGAGGACACACATCAGAAACTAGTTTCTGAGAATGCTTCTGTCTAGTTGTTATCGGAAGATATTTCCTTTTCCAACGTAGGCCTGAAAGCGCTCCAAATGTCCACTTCCATATACTAAAAAAAGAGTGTTTCAAACCTGCTCTACCAAAGGGAATGTTCTACTCTGTGACTTGAATGCAAACATCCCAAAGAAGTTTCTGAGAATGCTTCTGTCTAGATTTTATCTGAAGACAATCCCGTTTCCAACGAAATCCTCAAGGCTAGGCAAATATACTCTTGCAGATTCCAGAAAAAGAGTGTTTCAAAACTGCTCCTTCAAAACGGTGGTTCAATTCTCTTAGTTGAGTACACACATCTCAAATAAGTTTCTGAGAATGCTTCTGCCTAGTTGTTACGGGAAGATATTTCCCTTTCCAACATGGGCCTGAAAGCGCTCCAAATGTCCACTTCCAGATACTACAAAAAGAGTGTTTCAAACCTGCTCTACCAAAGGGAATGTTCTACTCTGTGACTTGAATGCAAACATCCCAAAGAAGTTTCTGAGAATGCTTCTGTCTAGATTTTACCTGAAGACAATCCCGTTTCCCACGAAATCCTCAAAGCTATGCAAATATCCTCTTGCGGATTCTACAAAAAGAGTGTTTCAAAACTGCTCTATGAAAAGAAAGGTTCAACTCTGTCAGTAGAGGGCACACATCACAAACAAGTTTCTGAGAATGCTTGTGTCTAGTTGTTATGGGAAGATATTTCCTTTTTCAACATAGGCCTGAAAGCGCTCCAAATGTCCACTTCCAGATACTACAAAAGGAGTGATTCCAACCTGCTCTATGATAGGGAATGTTCATCTCTGTGTCCTGAATACAAACATCACAAAGATGTTTCTCAGAACGCTGCAGTCTGCAATTTGTATGAATTCCCGCTTCCAACGAAATCCTCAAAACTAGCCAAATATCCACTTGCAGATTCCACAAAAAGAGCATTTCAAAACTGCTCTATCAAAAGAAAGGTTCAACTTTGTTAGTTGAGTAGATACAGCATAAACAAGTTTCTGAGAATGCTTCTGTCCAGTTTTTATGGGAAGATATTTCCTTTTTCACCTTAGCCCTGAAAGCGCTCCAAAAGTCCAGTTCCAGATACTACAAAAGGAGTGTTTCAGGACTGCTCTATGAAAGGGAGTGTTCAACTTTTGACTTGAATGCAAACATCAGAAAGCAGTTTCTCAGAACGCTGCTGTGGGCTTTTTATATGTATTCCCGCTTCCAGCGAAATCCCCAAAGCTAGCCAAATATCCACTTGCAGATTCCAGAAAAAGAGTGTTTCAAAACTGCTCCTTCAAAACGGTGGTTCAATTCTCTTAGTTGAGTACACACATCTCAAATAAGTTTCTGAGAATGCTTCTGTCTAGTTGTTATGGGAAGATATTTCCTTTTCCAACATAGGCCTGAAAGCGCTCCAAATGTCCACTTCCAGATACTACAAAAGGAGTGATTCCAACCTGCTCTATGATAGGGAATGTTCAACTCTGTGTCCTGAATACAAACATCACAAAGATGTTTCTCAGAACGCTGCAGTCTGCAATTTGTATGAATTCCCGCTTCCAACGAAATCCTCAAAACTAGCCAAATATCCACTTGCAGATTCCACAAAAAGAGCGTTTCAAAACTTCTCTATGAAAAGAAAGGTTCTACTCCTTTAGTTGAGGACACACATCACGAGTAAGTTTCTGAGAATGCTTCTGTCTAGTTTTTATGGGAAGATATTTCCTTTTTCACCTTAGGCCGGTAAGTGCTCCAAATGTCCACTTACACACACTACAAAAAGAGTGTTTCAAACCTGCTCTGTGAAAGGGAATGTTCAATTCTGTGACTTGAATGCAATCATCACAAAGAACTTTCTGAGAATGCTGCTGTCTGCTTTTTATATGTAATCCCGTTTCCAACGAAATCCTCAAATCTAGCCAAATAGCCACTTGCAGATTCCACAAAAAGAGTGTTTCAAAACTGTTCTGTCTAAAGAAATGTTCAACTGTGTTAGTTGAGGACACACATCAGAAACTAGTTTCTGAGAATGCTTCTGTCTAGTTGTTATGGGAAGATATTTCCTTTTCCAACGTAGGCCTGAAAGCGCTCCAAATGTCCACTTCCATATACTAAAAAAAGAGTGTTTCAAACCTGCTCTACCAAAGGGAATGTTCTACTCTGTGACTTGAATGCAAACATCCCAAAGAAGTTTCTGAGAATGCTTCTGTCTAGATTTGATCTGAAGACAATCCCGTTTCCAACGAAATCCTCAAGGCTAGGCAAATATCCTCTTGCAGATTCCAGAAAAAGAGTGTTTCAAAACTGCTCCTTCAAAACGGTGGTTCAATTCTCTTAGTTGAGTACACACATCTCAAATAAGTTTCTGAGAATGCTTCTGCCTAGTTGTTACGGGAAGATATTTCCCTTTCCAACATAGGCCTGAAAGCGCTCCAAATGTCCACTTCCAGACACTACAAAAAGAGTGTTTCAAACCTGCTCTACCAAAGGGAATGTTCTACTCTGTGACTTGAATGCAAACATCCCAAAGAAGTTTCTGAGAATGCTCTTCTGTCTAGATTTTACCTGAAGACAATCCCGTTTCCCACGAAATCCTCAAAGCTATGCAAATATCCTCTTGCCCCTTCCCCCTCCCCCCACCCCACAACAGTCCCAAGAGTGTGATGTTCCCCTTCCTGTGTCCATGTGTTCTCATTGTTCAATTCCCATCTATGAGTGAGAACATGCGGTGTTTGGTTTTTTGTCCTTGTGATAGTTTACAGAGAATGATGATTTCCAATTTCATCCATGTCCCTGCAAAGGACATGAACTCATCATTTTTTATGGCTGCATAGTATTCCATGGTGTATATGTGCCACATTTTCTTAATCCAGTCTATCATTG